>NC_000001.11:56826562-56978077 GCF_000001405.40 Homo sapiens
ACCTGTGCCATGTCCCTTAACCTTCCAGAGCTAGTGCCAGTGATGCCCCTGCATTGAGCCTTCTCTGATGACAGCAGAAGGTGATTTACTTAGTTCTGTATTTCCACAGTTCCTTCATCATTCATCCCATAATTGGTCTTGCAACAACACAACTGGTTTTATTCCTATCCATATGGTAGCCTCTGTGAGTCCTTCATAAACTCACCACCCTCCCAAGTATTTCTGAGGATCTTCAAAGGCAGTTTCCCAAGGGCCCCCAAGTCCGACTGTCAGCTGGACCCATCACAAGTGGCATTCACCATGGTCTTTCTTTCCAGCTCCAATCCAGGGCCCACAAAGCTGTTGGAGGAATTTCACTACTGCCACCAGAGGCCATCCATTATGACAACACCAGTGTTCTTGTGTGGGCTTGCATCAGACTAGGCATGAAGAACTTCTGGTGCATAAACTCATTTTATTTTCACAACAACTGTGAGTGGGCACTCACCCCCCATTTTACAGATGAGAAAGCCAAGACCCAGGGAAATGAGGGTCACGCAGATCAGGTTAAAAGGCTGGTCAGTGGGAGGGCTGGGGTTTGCCTTTGGTCAGCCCCATCCAGAACATGTATTCTTACCTGCTGTGCATGGGCCATACACTGAGCCTCTGGACTCCAGCTCAGCTCACCACCTTGCCTTTGTCCCTCTGCCCATGTGCCTGTCTCTGTCAAGTAGGCAGTGGGGCCTTCAAGGGCAGAAATTTGTTCTTACTCATTCTCTACCTAGCTCAGTGCTAACCCTACAATAACTGGTTTGTTTTTTTTTTTTTTTTTTTTTTTAATAAACATGTTACCTTTCTGGTGAGATTTCATTTGGTGGGATTATTTTCCTTTTCTCATTTTAGGTCTAAGCTTCTTCTCAATAGCTGGTCAGCCTCATTTACAGCCAAGGCTTTAGAAGGACCAAAGTGATTTGAGAGATGTATGGGTCAGGAAAGGGTAGAACCATCCTCCACTGTAGTGGGAGCGTTAACTGCTGGCCATTCCCAGATCCCTTTTAAATGCCTGGTTTCTATTCATTTGGCCTCCAGACCAATATGGAAATATAATAATGCTCTGGGCAGCACTGAGGAGACCATGCGGCCATGTGCTGGCCTCATGCATAGGGGAGCATTTCTGCAGCCAGCCTGTTATCCAAATCTTCCACTTTGGCCATGAATGTGCATCTTCTCATCATGTGCAAATTGCACTGGGCTCTAGGAATAACTGTAAATTGGCCTCACTCTGGCTAAAGTCACATATGAGACCTGAAGAGCAGAAGGATAATGGATCCTTTGCCATTGTCCTAAGGGCCCCTGCCAACACTCTCAGTTTTTCTGGATTCTCTAACTGTTCTGATTGTGATGATCTCACTCCACACCCAGTATCTCACCATCTGTCAGTGACACAGATGCTATGCAGGACTTGAGTGTGGGTTAACTTGAACAAGAGGACTGGGGATGGGGAACCTAGTTAGGAAAAGTGGATAACTTTCCCAGAGCCATGAAAGTGTCTTGGAAAGTATAAATATAAACATGATTTATGATAAGTAAACATGTTTCTCCATTCACCCATTCACTGGTTTTATTATTAAACCGACCATTCTCAGGAACTCCTGGATGGGGAGATGAGCTGATGTATCTGCCAGGGTCCAGTTAGGAAAACAGAAATCTTTCTACATATTGGAAGCAGGAAATTTAATATGGACAATTGGTTACACCAGGAGAGCTGTGAGGATACCCAGGGATTAGCAAGAGCTGGGAGCCACTAAGCTACAGGGACAAATTGGAGGTGGTGTATTAGGGTCTAGGAGCTAGAATCACTCAGAGGAAGCGTGAGAATCAGTAAGGGAAAGTAATGGCCACCTCTACCTTCTGAGGCTTCTAGAGAAGAGAAGAAGTACCCTGGCTTCTTCCTTCCTCCCATCTTTCAGTAGTCTCCTGTGAGTGCCTTCCATTGGCCAAGCCCAGACAGAAGCCAACTGATGCAGAAGCCTGAGACCTGCAGCCTGTAGGGGTCAGAGGTCCTGCCATATGGGGGAGAACAGGGCAGGGCTGAAGAATGCATCTGTGGGCAACCTCTCTCATGGCAGGCATAAGGGATACACATAATACAAGAGAAAACAGTAAATACCATAATTGACTTTTCTTAAGCCACTAGAGCAAAATAGAAGGAGCAATGATGTCCTTTTTTTGTGGAAGGAAAGGGTTCAGAAAGCTTTTTGGAGGAGATAGCATGAGCTGGGTCTTGATGAGGCATGAGAGTTTGACATGAAAGCAGGGAGAGGCTGTTTCAGAAGAGGCAACAGTGTGATCGGGGCACAGCTTCTGGAATGGGTCTGGCATTCTCAGGGAGCAGAGAGAACTCTGGCTCTGGCAGAAGTGCAGGGTGTGTCAGGAAAGCCATCCCAGGAGGGAAAGACTACACATCCCAGAATGTGTAGCCACAATGCGCGCTTTGAATTGTGTGCTGAGGACTTCAGATTTAGCCTGTAGGCTGGGAGAATTCTGCTGCAGGGTGGCTGAAAGAGGGTGGTCCAGATCATCTTGGATGTAGGGGAAGAGTGTGACACCCTGCCGCCTTCCTGTGTCTCCTTCTCCTCCCTGCTCTTCCTCCTCCTCTTCTATTAAGCAAATGGAAAACTCATGCACCCTCCTGAGTGTTTGCTCTTCAACATTTATTCTAATGCCGGGATCCAAAATATTTTTGTAACTCTCCATGGACAGTTGCCTTCAGATCCTAAGATATGTTATTTAAGAAGACAAATCTTTGCTTTGGATTTGCAAACATAGATTCAGTTGTGGTTTTCTTTTCTTCTTTTTCATTTTTTTGAAACATTACAGGGGCTTGGGAATTAAATCAGATGCATAATTCAGTTGATCAAGCCATTATGCTTTTTGTTAAAATTGAGGCATAATTAATACGAATTGAGCTGTGGCTCAAATATTCATTGGAATATGAAGTTCACCTCTCCAGGTGACTGCTCAGAAGAGCAGTACTCATTCGAATATCTAAGTAGTCTGTTTAAAAAATCAGTCTCATGATTTTATGATTAAGTATCATATGATTTACCTTAGGCATGAAGAGCAGAGGAGAAGAAAAATCCCTCCCATTTGTACAGAACCTTATGCTTTCTAAAACACTTGCACAAAATCAAAGGACAATACAAAGAAATAAAGAGGGAGGAAAAGCAGAAGAGCAAGGAATTAAATTATTCTTACAAAACTTTAAAAAAAAAAACACTGCACTGTCAAGAGAGACAGGAAGTCAAAATCTGAGCATATTTCAAGAAGTCGATATCTGAGGATATTTTAGGAAACTCATTGTCAGAGGTTAGGAAGTTGAAACCCATAATGTCCAGTTAACTTACAGATTTCTGAAAGGTTAAATGACCATTCTGAGTGATCACAAAATAATATTAACCATCTACCCCTACAACTTCTTTCTTACGTCAAGGGAAAAAAAACATACCAATTGTGGCACCCATTTTTGGTAGACTCGCTAGAATACACTTATCCCTGCTCCCCTTTCCCTCGGCTTTAAAACATTATTAAAAAAAAAAATGTGTGCTTTCATACTTCCCCCACTCCCACTTAAATCCCTCTGTGAGTTAAGGAAAAGCTGGTTCCTCCCCCTCCGTCCCTCCCCCCCTGCCTCCACCAATCAGATTCCCACCAGCCCCAAATGTGGGAACTGATTGGCAGTTCATCAGCACATATTCTCCATCTCAACAAAGGGATGGGTTCACTTGTAAGCATATGATCTAAGCCAGTCCAATCAGGGGATTTTTTTTCTCGAAATATTGGGATGGGGTTTCCTCTTGCCCTTAAAGCTCACTAGGAACATGTAGTAGCAGGAGCTGCTGACAGCCATCTTTGACCATCAGGGGAGTCAGGTTAAGAATGAAGCTTTACCAAGCAGAATAAAGAGTGGTCCTTGAGTTGCTGAATGGATTAAACCAGGTCTAAGGCTTCATCTAGGCTTGAAGTTTCCAGCTCTGGAAGCCAATAAAATCCCCTTTCAGTTCGCCCATTGGAGTTGGATCTTCTTTTTCTTACAAATAAAAACCTGGGTAATAGCCACAAAAATGCTCTTCCAGCATGAAAATATTGCTTGTGTGAAGCACAATGGCTTTTTTTTTTTTTTTTTTTGAGACGGAGTCTTGCTCTGTCGTCCAGGCTGGAGTGCAGTGGCGCCATCTCGGCTCACTGCAAGCTCCGCCTCCCAGGTTCATGCCATTCTCCTGCCTCAGCCTCCCGAGTAGCTGGGACTACAGGCGCCCGCCACCACGCCCGGCTAATTTTTTCTATTTTTAGTACAGACGGGGTTTCACCATGTTAGCTAGGATGGTCTCGATCTCCTGACCTCGTGATCCGCCCGCCTCGGCCTCCCAAAGTGCTGAGATTACAGGCGTGAGCCACCGCGCCCGGCCTCACGATAGCTTTTAAATCAGCATTTATTCAGCCCTGATAGATGCCAAATGTTTTCACATACATTGTTTTGTTGATTCTTTATATATTTACCCTATCTTTAGATGAGGAAATGGTGGCCCAGGGGGATTCAGTGACTTCCTTTAATAGTCAGGGTAGTTGAACCTGGCTGCTCTAACAAACAGTCATCATATCTCAGCACTTTACCATATATATGAGTATTTCCTGCTCACATCACAATCTAATGAGAATTAGGTGGCTTTCCTGGGTGGGTGTCCTTTAGATGATGATTCATGGATTTGGTTCACCTCCCTTGTGTGATCCTGACGTTTTGGAATATTTTGTTTCCGTTGGTGTGGATTTAGAGACAGAGTGTGTGAAAAATCTTCAGGGAAGCTTCAGAGGTAAGGCCTGGAAGTGTGGCATCACTTTTGCCCACGTCCTACTGTCCAGAATCTAGTAGCGTGGCCAACTGCAAGGGAGGCTGGGGAACAGTCTTCTTCGTGCCCAGAGGAAGAGGGCGAGCATCTCCCTGTCACCCCTGTGGAGGGCCATCCCAGGATCCCTCCTGGTGCAGCTTGTAAGTGGGGCCGGGATTCTAAGCTAACCGTCTCGTTCTACCGACTCCTTCCGCGTCTGTTTCTCTTGCTTCTCTTCCTTTTTCTCCTCCGCCTCCACCCCCCATACACAGTCGTATTTAGCTAATCCCCTCCATACGTAGTTACACTGCTTATGCAAAGGTCAGCTGATATTTCTTCCCTCAGTATCTTCTTAAGGGAAGAAGAAACCCCCAGCCCCCCTGACATTTGATAGAACCACAGAGGCTGTTGTTACTTGAGAAAAATGTTCACCACATAATAATGTATATGAGGAATTGATCATTTACTTACCCTCAAAGCAGATGGACTTTATAAGCAGAAGTGCTCTGTAATGCAGGCATGACTGGGAAGAACAAATCACATTTCTCTGTGTACTTAGGGGAGAAAGAATTAATTCAAATGCAGGGTCTGCCGCTTCAGGTCCATTTACGGAAGCCGCAATCCTGCACTATGACCACCAGGGGGAGCGCTAGGCCCATCCCTGCACAGGTAGCTATTTTTAGAGGTTGCTTCTAGCCTGGAGGAAGAAACGAAAGAAATAAAAGACTATGATACTTTTTTTTTTTAACCGGACCAACTTATAAATTATTTGTAAGTCCAATAAAAGGCAATTATCAACATTTCCTACTATTTCAGGAGTAATATATTCTATGTTAGAAAAAGATGCACTTTATTCCATGGCTATGATTCAGACAATGGGAAATTGGAGACAACCACAGCAAAAAAAAAAAAAAAAAAAAAAAAAAAAGATTGTTACCCTGTGTAAATCTTTGTCTTTAAAACCCAAATCAGAGGATGTGAATTCTGGCCCTAGTGGGCATGAGATATTTGCCCTGAAGGCTGTGGAATTTGATGGGCTGGGGAAGGCGACTGGAAGGTATGTGTGTGATGCGTGTGCAGTAACACTGTGTATAACTCTCATTCTTTCCACAGCACAAGGGAAGTGAGTCAGAGTACTCTTGTCCAAACAACTGAATAGTGAGCAATAGCAAATTGTTTTAGGAAATATAGTTTTATTATTTCTAACTCTGTAGGCATACAATATAATAATGAAGCTCAGAAGATATTCTCATATATGTATGTATATATATATACATACACACAGACATATATATATACACACAGAGAGAGAGAGAGAGAGAGAGAATGTGTGTGTGTGTGTGTGTGTGTGTGTGTGTGTGTGTGTGTGTGTGTGTGTTTCGCTATGTTGCCCAGGCTGGCCTCAAACTCCTGGGCTCAAGAAAATGTGTCCTCCTGCCTCAACCTCCCAAAGTGCTGGGATTACAGGTATGAATCACTACTTCCAGCCAGAAGAGATCCTCTTCTAATAAACAAAATTGTTGTTTTCAAAGAGCCCTCCTATTCTTTCCAATCAATTGTATGAGCATCACTCTCTTGCCAAGCAGCAGTGTCGTGTGATGGGACAAGCATGGTTCCTTGACTCCAGAAAAACAGAGCCTGAACCTTGCCTCTGTGAGTCAGTAAAACTGAGACTTTGGGCAAATAACTGAACCTCCTCCATCTTCGGTTTCTATAATACAATACCTATCTCCCAGAATGAACACAAACCTGGAATGAGACAGTATACATGAGTACCTAGCTCAATAAATGTTAGCTTTCTACTTTGATAAGGTCTCTTGTTTCCCTACAGATGGCAACAAATACATTTGAACAGAGTTGCTGGATTCTACATTGTCACATATTCTGAGTCTGTGGGCCTGGATGAATGAGGTTTTGCTTTGAAGCCATTGTAGGGATGAGGAGTGGGTGAAGGTGGACCCGCTCGGGTGTGGAGGCAGGCTTACCGAATCCCTTAGCTCTAAAGAAAAAGCATGTTTCCAGGGCTATGTGTTCTCCAGAGAACTGAGGCCCTTCACTGAGCTGAGAAGGCCTTTTTCTCAAGCACAGGGAACAAAGCAGCAGGCAGTGGGAATGTGAACCTGTAAACCAAGGCTCCCATCAGCTGCTGTGACTACTTGGAGACCTTTTCCTGACTGTGTGACAAGCAGAACAATAAGAGCTGATAAAGCTCAGAGCCTCTGCTGGGGCAAACGACTGAATGTTTGTGTGCCCCCCAGATTCATAAGTTGAATCCTAACCCCCGATGTGATGATATTTGGAGGCGGGGCCTTTGGATGGTGCTAAGGTTATGAGAGTGGAGCCCTTACAAATGGGATTAGTGCTATTATAAAAGGGGCCATGGCACTATTCACAATAGCAAAGACTTGGAACCAATCCAAATGTCCATCAATGATAGACTGGATTAAGAAAATGTGGCACATTTACACCATGGAATACTATGCAGCCATAAAAAAGGATGAGTTCATGTCCTTTGTAGGGACATGGATGAAGCTAGAAACCATCATTCTCAGCAAACTATCGCAGGGACAAAAAACCAAACACCACATGTTCTCACTCATAGGTGGGAATTGAACAATGAGAACACTTGGACACAGGAAGGGGAACACCACACACTGGGGCCTGTCGTAGGGTGGGGGGAGGGGGAAGGGATAGCATTAGGAGATATACCTAATGTAAATGACAAGTTGATGGGTGCAGCACACCAACTGGCACATGGATACATATGTAACAAACCTGCACATTTTGCACATGTACTCTAGAACTTAAAGTATAATATATAAAAAAAAGGGGGCCATGGAGAGCTACCTCACTGCTTCCACCATGTGAGGTTACAGTGAGAAGCTGGTGTCTGTGAACAAGGATGTGGGTTTTCACTAGACACTGAATCTGCTGGGGCCTTGATCTTGGACTTCCCAGCCTCTAGCAATGTGAGAAATAAAATGCTTGTTGTTTAAGCCACCAAGTCTATGAGTATTCTGGGTTATCATAGCCCGAATGGACTAAGATAGCTAGTGTCTAGGGAACTTGGAGGTGCAACGTGTAGAGCTTGGAAGAAGGTGAGTTGCAGGCATTCTGAAGATTACCAGGACTCTGGGGGTCAGCTCAGTGCTCCAGAAACAAGAAAAAGCTGACGCCCCTAGAGAAAAAGCCCATTTGCCACAAGGTTTGCCATCAGGCGGCACTGTGAGCCCAGCACCTGCTCCCCATTCACAGAACTGGTCTTGAACCACTCATTTCTACCCACCCATTCCTCCAGGCCTGATCCCTGTTTGTGAGCATTAGCCTAAGACCTCATGCTCATCTCTGCTGTTTATCCTTAGTACCCCTCCACACCTGTCCTCCACCTTTCTCAGCCGTTGTCTGTGCCCTGGGAGACTGCACCACCTGGACTTCTTTGCTGCCTGTTCAGGTTAGGAAGCTCCAGCAGGAGGTCCCAAAGTGAGATAAGAAGGAAGGTGAGGTATTTCTTCCCTGCCCCTCTTCCTACTTGGGCGTGAAACTCTGCCACTCCTGGTACCCTTCCAGCAACTGGAGCTCCCACCAACCCTCCTCATGGCCCCCATCCCCGTGGGGATCTAGTGATCATCTTTCCCCTGCCACCTTGCTCCTTCTACCATCTGTGTGGTAATGGCTTCCTGCTCTTGCTCCGTGCTGGGTGCTCCACTCTTCCTTGTCAATTCCCTCAACCCTATTCACAACTCCCTGAGATGTCTTGTCATTAAAATCTCTGCTTTTCAACCACCTGGGGTGAATTCTGTTTTCCACAAGGGCCCTGATTTATATATATCGCCTCTTCATAAATATTTATTTACATATATCTTGTTTTAGAAAGGAGCTAAGAACAATATATAAACTGTAAAATCACAAAAGTTAAAGTAAAATTTAAAACCGTGGGGACAAAGGCATAAATTGGAACCAAAGACAAAACTAAGAAAACTGCACAGCACCATAACTCCCCCATTTGCTTATTGGCGGCCACAAATGTAGCCCCTTGTTTTTTAGATGCCCACAGATAATGTACAGCCTCTGTTGAGTGCAGAGTCTACAAAATACCAATAAACCAAGTACCTCACACAAATACAACTCTACGGGACTATAGTATTAGCAGCATTCTCTTCGTCGTAATGAAAAGACTTTTATACGGAACAGCACCAGAAAGGGGAGGACTAGGTGAACGTGTTGCCATAAAGATGCCCTTGGCCATGAAGGAAAAGGGCATGTCCCAGGCATCTGAGAACAGGTGCCACAGTGTGGCCAGACCTTCCAGTCAAGGCACCTGGTCCAGGGCACCTGCAGAAATCTCAGCGTCAGGGCTTGCTGGCTCTGCAACCCAGTGGTCCACCATTAGCGCCGCTGACCTTTTTCTAACTATTGGTTTAACTCTGCTTCTCTTTCTGCCAACAGTTTGCTTCCTCAAATGTCCTTGGTCTTTCTCAGAGTTCTGGTTACTCAGGTTTCCACACTGCCGTAATTTTGTTTGCACATAACATCAGTTTATTCAGGGCCTCTGTTCTACCGCATAGCCTCTCTCTGGGCATTCAACCAGCCTCACTTTCTGCTACTGATTCTCCCTATATCTTTCAATTCAGGTTTTCCAGAGTGAAAATACGATTGGCCATATTTCTCTCCGGGCAGAACTTTCCATATTCGGTCACATCATAACTGGCGTTTGGTCAGGTGTCCAGCCTAGTGCATTCTGGGGGCTGCCAGGGTAGGTAGGGTCACAGGCTAAACATGACAGCTCAGGATTGTGGTGTGTGCAGGGCAGTTTCCTTTGGAAGAGGAAGATCAACCCATATAGACTGCATCATCTGGGCTCCACCAGTTCACAAGGAAAACCCTGTCAGTCATTTCTCACTCTTCATGAAGAGATTATGGATGATATGTGAACATCTGCTGATTCTGGTCTCCTGGACTTCCCTAGGAATCTCCATCACGGCTCTGTCCTCTGTAAAAAAAAAATTTCTACTGATCTACTCCAGCCCTGAAAGCAGAACCCAGACAACAGGGGGAATATGGCCTGGGCAAACACAGTAGATATTTGATTTTGGTGAGGTCATTGGTTCCTGAGCACGCCAGCGTGAGCTAGGGGCTACAAGACAAATGCTAACCACTCTCTGCTGGTGAGGACAGAGAAGAACTCTAGCTTGCAATGAACTCAGGACATGAAAAAGATGAGCTGTGGATGATGGCTCTGAAGGCCTCCAGCTGAGTGCGGCCAGGAAAGGCAAGCAATGTCACATAGCCAGTCTGGAGAGTGTGTCCTTCTGTAGTGTGGACAGCCATCAGAGAAGAACTTTCCCCAGGGAGTTTAGCATTGGTGAGTGCTGGCAGAGCTGGAGTTCTAACCCTGCCACGTATCAGCTGTGTGACTTTGGACAAATTACTTGATTCTTGAAGCTGTGTCTGCATATATAAAATGCAGACAGTAATATCTACTTTGAGGAGCTGAAGCAAGAAATACATGATAGAGTGGTTATGAAGCACTTGGAGACTAAGCTTTCAAAAACTGATAGTAATTTTTATAATTATGATTCTTGGTGGAGCTGCTGACCTGTTTTCTAATATTTGCAATAGGACTTGGGTTCCCAATGACTTGAGAATAAAGGAACCTTTCAAACCAAAATGAGGAATTGTGCCACTTATGATGAGGCAACCATAGCATTTTGGGTAGACAGGGCAGTGGTTTTAAGCAGAGGCTGGGGCTACGTACTTCATGCAGCTCAGTTGGTTGTGGGTTGAATAATCTATTGCAAGATCCAGATTTGGAGTTAAATTTTTTAAAAAGACAGTGGTACAAGAAAAGATAACAGGTCTCCCAAGAGGCATAGCAGGCTAGAAAGCATTTGTTGCATGGAGACACAAGGGTGGCTCAGTCCGTTATAGCATAACCCTGCCCCTCAAATCCTGGAGGTGGTGAGGGAAAGCGCAGGCAAGCTTGACCTCGTATTGGAGTTGCCATCTCTCACAATAGCCCTCTCCGCCAACATCTGAGATCCTTAGTTCCAGCAGGGTGTGAGCTCTGAATCACTGAACTCTATCTACCTATACCCTCTGGGGAGGGCTGCAGGAGGCCAGTGGCTTAGGACTTTTTTTTTTTCTGCCTCCTAGGGGAAAAACTGTTCCCCTTCAGCCAAAGGGGCCATTTCTGCAGTCAGAAGGGAAGGAGCCCTGCTCAGTCTTGCTGCCAGGTGCAGGCTGAATTATCTTGCAAGAGCAACTGGAGTCTACCTTGGCTGAAGTCAGTGAGGTCGTAAAATCACTTCCCTGAGGCACTGCAGCACCCAATTTGGAGATGAGTGGGGATTTACATGATTCAACGGAATGTTTCTTTCCAGTGTCAGGGCTCAGTCAGTCGTGAAGGAGGAATTTGTGAGCAAAGCTTACGGGCTGTGTTTGAGATTCATTCTTGTCCTTGTCCGGAGGGGCTGGAGGAGCAGTGGCAAAAAAAAAAAAAAAAAAAAAAAAAAAAGGCTAAATTTTCTGGGACAAGTAAAAGTAAATTATGCTCAGGGATAGGATTTATCTACTCCACTGGGACCTTGTGAGGCTCTCTTTACTGGGGCTGGGGGCTGAACCGAGAAAACTTTTCTAAGTCTAAATCCACAATGAAATGGACACTCAATTGCTGAATATTTATTATGATAGGTTAGGTGCTATGTTACGTCATTTACATAACATTTTCTCATTAGATTCTTACAAAAGATCTATGAAGTAGCTATTTTTGTCCTCGTCTTACAGATGAAGAAACTGAGGCTGAGAGAAATTAAATAATGAGCCCAAGATGATGCGGCCAGAAAGTTGCTCAGCTGACTCCATACTGCCCTACCCCAAGGTGACACTCCCTGGAGTTGTGGCTGGAATTCGCACCTGAACGTGTTTATTTCCAAATACATATCATGCAATCTAAGAACAAAATAAGCCAGTACGCTTACCTTGCACTTGGAGGCTCTGTGTGATCTCCCTAAAAACAGGTTAACAGGTAGCTGGAATTTGGGGAGAAGTTCTGTCTGTATGATTACCCTGTGGTTTAGTGGATAAAGCTGGAGATTGGAGTCCTCAACCAGGCAGAATTCAGATCCATGCTGATCCACTTACCAGGTATGGGATTTCAAGAAAGTCACTTATCCTTTCTGAGCCTCAGTTTCTTCATCTGTTTACATGGATTGCTAAAGGAACTCAGAGTGCTTGTCAATGCAATGGCCTTGCTGTATGGTATAGGCTCCTCAAATGTTAGGTTTTCCTCTCTTGTGGTTATCTATTGCTGTATAACCATTTCAAAACATAATGGCTTAAAATAAAACAATCCCTCATTTTGCTCAGTTAAGGTTAAGGCTCAGTGAGGACATCTTGTTCCTTCTTTATGCAACATTGGCTGGGGTGGCTCATGTGGGAATCCTCTTTCAAGATGGATCATTTGCATGGCTAGCAAAGCTGCTTGTCATTTCCTTTTGAGACGGGATATTTCCCTTGACCCCTTTGTAGGACTTGTGAAGGGGTGACTCATTTACTCAGCCCGGAGCTCTGAACCCCTCACAGGAGGGTGAACACATAGGTGATTGGGTGCAGGAGCCCATGCAAATGAATGCTGGAACAGGCCGGTTGCTCCTCTCTGGTGGGAGCAGGCTCTGTGCAGCCCTGCAGCAGGGTTCAAGCACATTACAATGTTCTTTTAGCTCTGCTATCTGGGAAGGGATGTCTGCAATCCCTGGAGCCCCAGAGGGTGTGTGTTACAATCAGTGCTCTTTTAACATTTGCTGTCCACGGATGGCTAAGTGTTTACTAGCTCAGTGGAGGGTCAAGGTGCCAGCCTTTTATACCCTGCCCTCTTGGTACCTGAGTTCTTGTCTGACGTTCAGGAAGAATCAGGTCACATGAACGAATTGAAGGGTGGTGAATGCGGAGGATTTTATTGAGTGGTGGAAGTGGTTCTCAGTGGGAAAGGGAGCTGGAAGGGAGACAGAGTGGGAATATAATCTTCTCCTGGAGTTCAGCTGTCCCCGGCCAAACTCTTTTCTGAAGTCCCTGTCAAGCTGTCCCTCTGAAATCAAGCTGCTTTTCTTCTACATCTGGCTGCTTCTTCTCTACTCTCCTTCTCTGCCACTCCATTCTGCTCTTCTGCCAGTGGAGCTTGGGATTTTTATGGGTACAGAGTGGGAGGCTGGTGGGGGGGCAGGGTGGTTTTGGAAAAGGCAACATTCAGGCAGGAAAACGAGCATGTGAATTTCTAATTTAGGGCCATGGGTCCAGGCTTGAGGGTGGAACCCTCGCCAGGGACCCACCCTCTTCTACCCAGTATTTCTCTGCCTCCTGTCCATATCACTTTCCACACTGGTCTGTTCACAGAGCAGCTTGTGCTTCCTCACAGTATGGTTGCTGGGTTAGAAGAGCAAGTGTCACAAGAAACAGAAAGTAGAAGCTGTCCATTTATTAAAGCCTGGACCTGGAAACTGGCACAGCACTACTTCTGCCACATTTTATTGGCCAAGAAGTCCCAGAACCTAGATTCAGGGGCAGGGGACATTAATGGGAGGAATATCAATTAGTTTTGGGATCAAGTTTTAAAACTACCATGCCACACTTTTCCCTCTGGCCTCAAATTGATTACATTTATTCTACATGCCAACTATACCCACTGCTTCCCAACACCCCCCAAAAAGCCTCATCCCATTATGGTGTTAGATTCAGGCTCAAGGTCCAGAATCCTGTCATTTAGTCAGGTTGAGATGCCAGTGAGGCTCCTGGGCGCAGTTCCTCAGATAAAGCTCCTTTTGATCAGAAGTCCTGTGCACTAAAGAGACAAGTCCTCTGCTTCCACTTACAATGGTGGGACAAACTCAAACCATCAGAGCAGCGGTGTTCAGTAGAAGCTGAGCTGCTGAGTCAGTCTGGTGGGCTGGGGGGTGTCTTGCAGCAGCCTCCTGCCATGGACTGAGCACAGGCTTTGCCACTAGATGTTCTGGCTTCCAATGTAGACTCTGCCACTGATTTTGTGGGTGGCAGTGAGTACGTCTTTCTGCGACTCAGAACCTTAATTCCCTTTTCCTTAAAATGGGAATAATAATCTGCGCTTCACAGGTCTTTGTGGGGTTTAAATAATGTGTTGTACTTGAAATTGCCTGGTAAAATGCATGGCCTATACTAGGTCATCAATATGAGAATAAATTGGGCATAATGATATTTATTTCACAGCAAGAATGCAAGACTCAAAGTAAATGAAAGAGATTTGTAAACTGTACAAGTTTTATGAAAGACTAATGTGTGTTTGTTTCTTTTGTTAACATCCATTGGCTGCTTCCTAGTTGAGGCCCCAGCATCAGCAGTGAGGGGTACCCTCTGCCCTGGGGCCAGTGACAGCTTGGTCTCTGAGGCAAAAGCTGGGAAAGGGAGCTGCTAGCTGCACATGAACCAAAAGTCATGAGACTCTATCCCTTTCCTTTTATGGTTGCCTTTGCTCTGAAGCCACCAGATTTCACCCACATGGGATTACACCAAAATGTATCAATCCAGCCTTTGGTGCTAGAGAAAATTTCTGTAGGGGATAATTAGATGAATCTACATTGTAGCCAAAAGGTCAGAGCAGCAGTGAGTGGGTGGGTGGCCATATGGTTTCTGTTTCTAAGAGTCAAAGATGAAGTAGAAGTAATACCGGCTTAGAAGTAGGCAAACCAGGCCAGGCGCGGTAGCTCACGCCTGTAATCCCAGAACTTTGGGAGGCTGAGGCAGGTGGATCATAAGTTCGAGAGATCAAGACCATCCTGGCCAACATGGTGAAACCCCATCTCTACTAAAAATATAAAAATTAGCTGGTTGTGGGGGCGCGTGCCTATAGTCCCAGCTACTTGGGAGGCTGAGGCAGGAGAATGGCTGCAACCCGGGAGGCAGAGGTTGCAGTGAACCGAGATCATGCCACTGCACTTCAGCCTGGTGACAGAGCGAGACTCTGTCAAAAAAAAAGTAGGCAGATCAGGGTTCAAATCCAGATACTGTCTCTTTTGACTATGTGGTGTGGGAAAGTCCTCTCACCCACAGGATCCTCAGCTTTCTCACCTGATATGTAGGAAAATAATCATCCCAGCTGATGTAGTTGTAGAAAGCACCGAGGCAATGCATGTGAAGAGCTCAGAGCTCGCTTCATTGCCTGATGCAGAGGCAGTGCCAAGCAGATGCTACTTTATTATTATTGGGAGAGCATGGGATAATAGTATTCCCCTCATGGGCAGGTATAAGGATTGGATAAATTGCATTCAGAGCATTTCCCAAGAACTAGACATGTAGAAAGTGCTCAGGAAATAGTGGCTGCTGCCATTAATAATTTTAATTTTAGCAACAACAGTGTTAATCACACTCAACTAACAATCTTTCAAAGTTTCTATAAGCTTGGAGATGAGTAGGTTTGAATTATGTATACAGATGCCATGTGAAAGATTTCTTCTGCAAGAGACTGGTGTATAAACAATTTACTTGCACAAAACAAGGAAATAAAAAATATTAACAGAAAAGGAGCCATACTGAGACCAGCACCCACAATTTTGTTGATGTTTCACATGAAAAAGTGCACAATAAAATCTCCATTTTGAAGATGTTGCTCAATTTTTTAGACAAAGAGAAATACTAAGTGGAACAGGCTTACTGAACAGTTCAAACTGGGGCCACAAACCAGATATGGTTTTATTTATTTTCCAGTCACTGCCTTCAGCTAAGCTCTGTCTAAATCCACTTTCCCATATCTTATTGGTAAATCCATAGCTTTTTGGTCACTTTCAGCAACATGGATAAAATCACTCTAGTATTTCAGCCTCCTCGTCCTAAACATGGTACTCCGTGGTCCCTACCTAACCCTCCTTGTGTGGGCTACTCCATCAAGTCTCCTGCCTTCAGAAACCAGAAGAGAAGTAGGCACCAGTTTCTATGCTTCTATACGTTCCCAAACTCCAAGAGACCTCTTTTAAGAACTTTCTTACACTCTTCCCCTCCATGTCAAGGTGGTCCTGGGCTGAGACCTCACATTCTGCAGCTCAGTGGACAGCAGACTGGGGAATATAATGCTTCATGGGTGAGCTATTGATACAATAAGGCTGTCTAACACTTAATCCAACACCTAGTAGTTTAGACCACACTCTTTCTCAGATCTGTGGCTGGCTGAGCAGCCTGGCTTCAGGCTATGGCGGGTGGAGATCAGCTGATTGAGTCTGGATTTGACTGAGCAACTCTAATTCAAGCTGAAGGTATGCAGGTTTGCTGGGCCCTTCTGTTCCATGTGCCTCTTTTCCTCCAGGATAGAGGGATACCTGAGGCATGTTCTTTCTATGATGACAACAGAGACGTAAAAGGGCACCTCTAAGTATCGTGACCTCACATGACTATATTCAAGAACATGAAGGGAAATGAGGATTCTCCCTGCACATCTCTTTGTTTCCATGCCTTCAGAAACCAGAAGAGAAGTAGGCACCAGTTTCTATAAGTTCCCAAACTTATAGGGTGGTAGTTTTCCTTAGAAGTTACCCAACAGATTTTCCTCTGTATCTTATCCACCAGGACAGAGTCTCATGTCTATCTTCAAATGAATCTCTGGAAAAGTGAAAGCGATGACCATGGTGGGCTCAGAAAAATGCTTGTTGAGTGAATTGATTTTTATGGAAACAAGCAATCTTCGTTTAGGTTGCTAAACGAAGTGTCACTTCTGAGAACAAGCAAAATGCATGCCCAGGTTAGGGTAACTAAGTAAAAGGAAATGAGGAGGGAAGAGTAGGAAGAAGGATCCTGCTTTATGTTTGTTGCCAGCTCATCTACTGAAACACAATTGTGGTTTCAGTAACACAGAGTGATAATATGCTCAGAGTTTGAGGGCTACGCGAGAGCTTCCCAAGCCTGGGGGTCCTTATTTCATATTCAAGAAAATAAAAGCAGTGGCAGTAAGGAAGTTAATTATAACTGTAATAACAATGTGTTATAATTAGCTATGAATAATAATTAGCTATTTTTAATACTTAGGTAGTACCAATTAAGTGCAGGCACTTTCTTAAGAGCTTCCTAAATATGAATTCATTATTATGTATTGCTCATGAAGACTGCAGTGGCCAGCTGGCCTCAATGAACCACACTTTCTGATATTCACACCCTTGGATGGTCCCTCCCACATTGATCCTAGGGTTGGCTTGCAATTTGCCTTCACCAGTGGGACATTGACAAGTGTAATATAAGCACAATAATTATCTTTTGGGAGTCAGCTGCTATGCTGTAAAGAAGCTTAAGCTAGACTCCTGAATGATGAGAGGCCACGTGCAGAGAAACCCTATGCAATGAAAGGCTATCTTTCATGTCCCAGCCCCATTTTACCTCTCAGCTGAACAGCCTTCCACAGAATCCTGAGAAATAATAAGCCAATGTTGTTTCCAGCCACTGAGTTTTTAGGCAGTTTGTTATACCGCAGTAGAAATTTAAATAATTGGTACAACGAATGTGTGCAAATTCCTTGGGCAATTTATGTGAATGACTTTCTTTTCCTTTCTTACTATTTGTGATCAGCCAGAAAAAGCTAAGGGGAAGATTATGAGCCTCACAGGGCTCATTTATTCATTCATTCAACACATATTGATTGCATGCCTGCTCTGTGCCAGGCAGTGTGCTGGGGTACCACTGTGAGTAAACAGCCCCTGCCTTCGTGATGCATATAATTTATGACACAAATCCCTCCTCCCTGATGCCGCTCTGAAAAAATGAGTAGTGACCCCCTCAAATATATCATTTGTTTTCTTAATAACCTATTATGCATCTGTCGCTCATCTAAATTTGGCATTAATCTGCTTGTTATGTCAAAGACAGGGGCCTAGTCAGACTCTGAGGTCAGGTTAACTTGGCCTCAAATCCTCTCTCCCTCCTGCCTCCTTTTGGCCTCAGTTTCCTTCTTTTTGGATTGGGTATAAGAATTCCCACTTAAAGCCACCCTAAGGAAGGCAGGAAAAGCACAAGTGCTCAATAAATGTTCATTCTTTTCTCTCTTCTTTCATGGATTGAATAACTACATTCAATTTCAGGGCAGTTTTCATCAGAGGGCAGTTCATGGGCATCTTGTCTGGACCTCTCCTGTTTTCTAGGATGCTGATGCTGACAAGAATTTTGCACCAAGCTCTCCTAATGCTCTCTACCCCCCTGACTCCCTGATCCTATGCAGTGGGCGGCTGAGCCTGTGATCCTGGATGCAGGGCCCCTCGTCGACAGAGCATTACAAAAGACTCTCATGTACATTATCTCAATTACTCTTTCCAGCAGGCCCGCGAGGCAGGTGTGCTTAGCCTCATTTTATAGGCGAGATACCCAAGGCTCAGAGAGCTAAAGTGACTTTTGCAAGGTTACAAAGACAATTAGTGGCTGAGCTTGCCTTGAAACCCAGGTGCCCTACCTCCTGCCTTAAGGTTTTTCTAGTCTCTTTGCACTGCCTCCCTGCCATGCCACACCCCACTGCCTAGTGCTACATCACAAAGACCTGTGAAAAGTGAAACCCAGAGCGTTCTCAAGAAATGGAGGCACAAATGCACAGTTATTGTTTTTCTTGCAACTGTGTACGTGGGGGGCATTAACATTCACCCAGGAGCTGCTGAAATCCGCTCAACCAGAACAAGGCTGGTGAGGAGAGAACTGACCAAATTTGTTTACAGGGGGCTAATCTGGCTCTGTCTCTCACTCCACACAGCCTGGGAGAAAGTCTAATTACAGCCTGACAGCCCAGAGTGTCTCATGGGAAGACGAATCTTGAATAAAAGTATGAAAATAGACTTGAATGGTGT
The DNA here is from genome assembly GCF_000001405.40 of Homo sapiens. Classification (NCBI taxonomy): domain Eukaryota; kingdom Metazoa; phylum Chordata; class Mammalia; order Primates; family Hominidae; genus Homo; species Homo sapiens. Next base: position 56,845,257 of record NC_000001.11, read on the forward strand.
GTGTGTGTGTGTGTGTATTTGTTTCCTGGTCCTGCAGTTCTAAGAGGGATTTCTGAGATAAGGATTATATAAGCCTAAGGTTGCCTACTGGAGGAGGCAGTGGAGATAAGCTAACCCTTAGGTGTGGACCCTGAAGTCCGGAGAAGTCACATGACTGTCCCAAGTTCCTGCAATGGGGTCTTGATACAGGTTAGCATAAGAATCCAGGTGCCTAACTCTGGAGATTCTGAGTTCCCTCCGGGGAGTCCCCAAGGGCTTCCCCTTGTGTGGCAGGTGCATGGTGTTCCAGGTCCTGGGAGTTGGTCTCTAACCTGGTTTCTTGGCTTCTGATCCCAACTCCCCGATCCCTGCCCCTCACTGCATCCTCCAAGAGGATCCCAGAGTGCAAAGTACAAATCTGATCAGGAGGCTCCACAGCCTCAATTCATTCAGTTGTACCTCCATGTCCTTAGGGATGAAATACATATCTGAGTCTTAGCAAAAACCAACAACAAAAAACCAAAACCACAAAACCCAAAGTTGATGGATGTGGCTTTGCCTGTCCTGCCAATCCTTCTCAAGGTATACTTAGTTCTAGCCCTCCAGATAGCTGGTTGAGCCCCAAGATGGCCATGCTCTTTGGTGCCTTACTGGATTTGCTTATTCTATTCTCAATGTCTGGGATGTTTGCTCTTTCTTCCTCTCTCTGTTTAAAGCAACTTCTGCATCAACCAAGCTCCTATCCCCTTCCTTCTGCTTCCTTCAAAGCATAAGTCTCACATCAGCAGCTGTTTGTGGCTGCTCCCAGTTTGGCCATCTGCAGCTCTCCATGGCACACTCACCCCTAGGCATGGCATGGTGATGGGCAGGGGATGTGTTCTCTTTATCTCTGAGTGTTCAATGTCCACCACAGTGTCTAACCCTAAGCCTTGATGGAATGAATGCAATAACTGATTGCCATGTGCATTATATCACTGACTATAACATAATAGTGAAAAACTTGTCAGCACTCCCACAGCTCAGGTTCTGACTGATCAATCCATTGGGTCACTATTGCTCTGAGACTTAAAGGCTACAATTTCTTTAAGGGTCTCATTTAAAATGTAAATACTCATGGGCTGACAATATAAAGATGCCTCAAATACATAGAAAAATGGCACACACACACACAGTGGTCTACGTCAGTTTCTCAGTGCCATTACTTGTGCCGTTACTGATTGTGCCATTACTGATTCTTCAGATGGCATCTTGGGCACCGCTAAGAGTAAGCCCAACCCAAATAGCCATAGGTTGGTATTTCTGGAATAGAGAATCCTGACAGAAAGGATGGTGTATTCATCCATTTTGTGCAGTTGATAAATATACCCAAGACTGGGAAGAAAAAGAGGTTTAATTGGACTTATAGTTCCACATGGCTGGGGAGACTTCAGAATCATGGCAGGAGGCAAAAGGCACTTCTTACACGGCAGTGGCAAGAGAAAATGAGGAAGATGCAAAAGCAGAAACCCCTGATAAAACCATCAGATCTTGTGAGACTTATTCACTACCATAAGAACAGTATGGGGGGAACCGCCCTCATGATTCAAATTATCTCCTACCGGGTCCTTCCCACAACACGTGGGAATTATGGGAGTACAATTCAAGATCCGATCTGAGTAGGGACATGGAGCCAAACCATATCATTCCACCTCTGGCCCCTTGAAATCTCATGTTCTCACATTTCAAAATCAGTCATGCCTTCCCAACAGCCCCCAAAGTCTTAACTCATTTCAGCATTAACCCAAAAGTCCACAGTCCAAAGTCTCATCTGAGACAAGTCAAGTCCCTTCTGCCTATGAGTCTGTAAAATCAAAATCTAATTACTTCCTAGATACAATGGGGGTACAGGTATTGAGTAAATACAGCCATTCCAAATGGGAGAAATTGGCCAAAACAAAGTGGTTACAGGGCCCATGCAAGTCCAAAATCCAGCAGGTCAGTCAAATTTTAAAGCTCCAAAATTATCTCCTTTGACTGCACGTCTCACATCCAGGTCACACTGATGCAAGAGGTGGGTTCCCATGGTCTTGGGCAGCTCTGCCTATGTGACTTTGCAGGGTACAGCCTCCCTCCCAGCTGCTTTCACAGGCTGGCATTGAGTGTCTGTGGCTTTTCCAGGCAAGTGGTGCAAGCTGTCAGTGGATCAACCATTCTAGGGTCTGGAGGATGGTGGTCCTCTTCTCACAGCTTCACGAGGTGGTGCCCCAGTAGGGACTCTGACCCCACATTTCCCTTCTGCACTACCCTAGCGGAGGTTCTCCATGAGCACCCTGCCTCTGCAGCAAACTTCTGCCTGTCATCCAGGTGTTTCCATACATCTTCTGAAATCTAGATGGAGGCCCCCAAATCCCAATTCTTGACTACTGTGCCCTCTCAGTCTCAATACCATGTGGAAGCTGCCAAGGTTTGGGGCTTACACCCTCTGAAGTCATGGCGTGAGCTGTGCATTGGCCCCTTTCAACCATGGCTGGAGAGGCTGGGATGCAGGGCACCAAGTGTACACCACATGTACACAGCATGGTGACCCTGCGCCCAGACCACAAAACCATTTTCTCCTAGGCCTTCAGGACTGTGTTGGGAGGGGCTGCCATGAAGACCTCCGACATGCCCTGGAGACATTTTCCCCATTGTCTTAGGGATTAACATTCAGGTCCTCGTTACTTATGCAAATTTCTGCAGCCATCTTGAATTTCTCCCTAGAAAATGGGTTTTTCTTTTTTATCACATCATCGGGCTGCAAATTTTCTGAACTTTTATGCTCTGCTTCCCTTACAAAGCTGAATGCCTTTAACTGCACCCAAGTCACATCTTCAATGCTTTGCTGCTTAGACATTTCTTCCACCAGATACCCTAAATCATCTTTCTCAAGTTCAAAGTTCCACACATTCCTAGGGCAGGGGCCAACGCTGCAGGTCTCTTTGCTAAAACATGACAAGAGTCACCTTTGCTCCAGTTTTCAACAAGTTCCTCATCTCCATCTTAGACCACCTCAGCCTGGACCTTATTGTCCACATCGCTATCAGGCTTTTTGTCAAAGCCATTCAACAAATCTCTAGGAAATTCCAAACTTTCCCACATTTTCCTGTCTTCTTCTGAGCCCTCCAAACTGTTCCAGCCTCTGCCTGTTACCCAGTTCCAAAGTCATTTCCACATTTTTGGGTATCTTTTCAGCAACGCCCCACTCTGCTGGTACCAATTTACGGCATTAGTCTGTTTTCACTCTGCTAATAAAGACATACCTGAGACTGGGAAGGAAAAGAGGTTTAACTGGACTTACAGTTCCACATAGCTAGGGAGGCCTCCGAATCATGGTGGGAGGTGAAAGGCATTTCTTACATGGTGGCAGCAAGAGAAAATGAGGAAGATGCAAAAGTGAAAACTCCTGATAAAACCATCAGATCTCGTGAGACTTATTCACTACCACGAGAACAGTATGGGGGAGACCGCCCCTATGATTCAAATTATCTTCCACCACGTCCCTTCCACCACATGTGGGAATTATGGGAGTACAATTCAAAATGAGATTTGGGTGGGGACATGGAGTCAAACCACATCAGGTGAGAAGTGAAAAGATTACAAAGAAAAACAGCATGCATTACGATTTTGCCTGGAAATGCTTGCTCATTCGGGTAAATTCAGTAAATATCAATTAGGTACTGTGTGTGTATATATGATATATATCTGTATGCATATACACACTTATATATATTTATAAACCCAATAATCATCAGACCCACTATATAGGAGGAATGATGAAGCCATAGTGGTGAAACAACTTGCCCAAAGTTGCAAGAATGGTTCATGGCTGTGCTGGGATTTCAATCCAGTTAGGTTTAGACCTAAAAACTGAAATCTTCCTGTAACTGTATAAAACATGCACCTGCTATCTGTCAGCAGTGGAAATACAGAGATGATTTAAATCATGGTCTTTGCTCTCAAAAAGCTCGCAGGGTATCGGGAGAACAGAAAGTAACAGACATCTCAGTGTGGTGCTGGGAGGGAATGGAAGGTTGGAAACTGTGGGAGAAGGCGATGTGACCAGGGACATTGTTTAGAATAGCCTGCTCATGGTGACCACACGAAACCAACTGACTTCTAGTGAGCTTTAGGATTGTTTTTAACATCTCCGCACACAGCGTGCTCCCTTATTGCTTGCACCAGGGGCAGATGAAGCCAGCCTGGCTATGGAGAGCTAGTTTCACTCACTGACTCTCAAATATCTGGTTCACAAAGACTTTGGGCCAGGCATAGTCTTGCCTTCCAGAAGTTCACAGAAATCACAAGCAGGATGAAGGACGATCCATCAAGTCAGTTGTCTTTTAAAGCGAGTGGTATGGCCTGGCACTGTGGGAACAGAGAGGGCTATGCTGCACCAAGCTGTGAGTGAAGGCACCACAGAGAAGGAGACAATTGACCAGTGGATAGGCCCGGAGAATTTGCTCAGGTTCAAAATTAACTCTGTTTTTATTGCAGCCAAATTCCGACACAGATTTTTTGAAGGACCACCCAGATTTGGCCGGAGCTGCTAACAATGCTGAATGCCTCTTTGAGAAAAGGTCTTTAATTTCTATTTTAATGAGCCAGACAGTGACTCCCTCTCATCCACCCCCTGAAATGCAAATACAAAGCTTCAGTATGAAGTAGGGAGCAGCAGGCACGCATTAGCCCATTCGTTGTTAAGCCTCTGATTGAGACCAATTACTAAACCAGCCCCGCTTCATTTCCAGTCGAAAACCCACTGTTAATGTCTGTTGGCTGCTACCAGGGACTGATGAGGTAATCAGGAGGAAAAGCAGATATAATAGATGTGTAATCTTACAAATGGTGAAGAAGGGACGATGGGGAAGGCAGTGGGCAGGAGATGCTCATTTGCTAATTGCAGACTTTGTACCAGGTACTGTGCTGAATATTTTTGCAGGCTTCTCCAGTGAGGGTGCAGGATATCATCTCCCAGTATACCCACACACCCACCCACACATATACACATACATACACAGCCCCCAGAGAGATACCTTAAGCAAACCCACAAAACTGTATGTTCAGCCATCCATGTTGACCAACCAGTTAGCTGCACAGAGAAACTTTATGTCTTCTATGACCACGGTTAGATTGGCCACGTCCATGTTGAAGTTGCTACTTTGAGTTGCTCTCAAAGTTTTCAACCCTTTAGATGCCATCATGGTACTGGAACTTGCGTAGAAGCAGCCCCTCTACCATGTTGCCACCTGGGATCTACAGCTGGAGTCATTCTATTAGCTTCTGCTGGTTGCATCGTTCTGCCAGAGGGGTTCACAATCAGTCCAAGGAACCAGCACACAGATTTCTCACATCCTCCCTCCAATAGTCTCTTTGCCAGATCCCTCCTTTCTTCCACTTTCTCTTTTCTTGGTACTTAAATGAAAGCTCTCATGCATATGAATGGGGAAAAATAGATTGTGAGAAGGGGGAGCATTGTTTGAATAAAACAGCAACAGCTGCTCAAAATGCCCAGTTGTGAATAGATTTCTTCATTTAGTGTTTAAATATCTTCATTTTAGATATTTAAATATCTTTAGATTAAATATCCTCATTTGGTGCTTGATCCTATCCTGTTAGATAGGTATTATTTTATCCATTTTACAGATGAAGAAACTAAGGCTAGGAGACAACAACTGGCTAGTGGCACTTTCTGATCTAAAGCTGTGTTTTTTCCACTCCAGCACATTGCCTCCATTTGCACTACAGAATTTAGATCTCCTATTTGGACTGGGCCAGCACGGGGGGGAACGTGGCGCAGAGCTTCTAAAAGCTTTGCAGAGAGCACAGATCTGGATGTCACCCCGTGGGAGCAGTCTGAGCCAACATAGGACATGTTCCTTTCTGAGGTCATAACTCACAGGCTGACTTAGATAGTGAAAAGTGTTTCCCTAAGACAGGCAATGTGTTTTCAAAATGAATTGCCATCTCCCTGTCTGTTCTGCGTGGTATTTTATAACTATCTATCTTTGATAACAAAATGCTACAATTAAGGTGGAATCCACATATGCAAACCTAACAATTTTTTGGCATTTCCCATTCATCTTAGAACAGTTGGGCTGAAAGCAGATAGATGCCCCTCCCCCATCCCAGTGCAGGCATGCACACATGCACACACACACTCACTCATAGAGGCACTGAACACTCACTCCACTCACTCCCATTTCTTATTAGCTTTTCTCCTTTGATTTCATCCTGTGATGATTTTGCTTTCTTTGTCCCCTAGAAATTATATTCGTTCTCTGCTAAAGCATAATAGATCATCAGACTTGGAGCTGGAAGGCCCAGGCCTTAGTCCTGATATACCACTTAGCAGTTGCACCAGACCAAAAAGATCTGAAGTTTTGCAGTTGGACGGATTATAAATCCATGACTCCAAGACTCGCCTGCTGTGTGATTGCAGGCAAATTACTTAACCACCCTGAATTTCAATATCCTTATTTTCAAAACTGCATTAGTATTACTGGCCTTCCACGGTTGCTGTGAAGATTAAGTAGACATGTAAGGTGGCAGGCACTGGGCTTGGGATTCCAAACATCTTAGTTTCATTTTCCCCCTCAATCGCTATCTGTCTGACTCTCAAGATTCTCTTCAGGATAACGATTTTTTTTTTTTTTTTTTGAGCTAGGGTCTGGCTCTGACACCCAGGCAGGAGCACAGTGGCGTGATCTTGGTTCACAAGATCTGATGATCCTCCCACCTCTGCCTCCGAGCTCAGGTGATCCTCCCACCTCAGCCTCCCAAGTATCTGGGACTACAAGTGTATGCCACCATGCTTGGCTAACTTTTGTATTTTTTGTGGAGACAGGGTTTCACCATGTTGCCCAGGATAGGATAATGATTTTTAATCTCATGAGATTATTTTGAGAATCAAATGAGAAAATATGTCTAATCATATTCTGAAATAGTAATCTATTTTTAATTGCTTATTTGCTTATTCACTCAATCAACAACAATTTCCTATTAAAGATTTTATTGTTAAGTGATATGGATGATTATAAATAAGAATCAGACACAGAACTTACACTAAAGACATGTTCATTCTCCAGTTACGCCCTGCTCCCCTAGAAGAATATGAAACAAAAATTATAAGTGCTGCTAGCACATTTATGAGGTTGAGCTTCCAAGCAGACACCTTTTAGATGGAGCCACCAGCAAAAGATCCATGATGGATCTGACATTTGAGAAGATGCTTGGCAAAAAGGGAGGAGATGACGGATGAAGATAGTTCAGATGGAAGGCCCAGTGTGAGCAAAGCCACAGCAGCAGCAAAGCATGAGGAAGGTGAAGGGAACCTAGACTATGCTGTGGGGGATCATTGCAGAGTTGTGGTTGATAAGGCTGCAAAAATGGGCTGGGACTCATTTATGGAGGAATTTGGACTTTTACTCTTAGAGATAATGGGGGAGCCACTGCAGCTTTCTGAGTAGGACAGTGATGTTGTCAGAGATTGTTTCCTTGATGATGAATCCAGCAGTGCTAGAGAGGGAGGGTTGAAGTGAGAAGTGGAGGCCCACTAGGAGTGGGTAATGAGAGTTACAGAGAGATGAGGCCCTGATATGGATCAAAGACAGTGAGGATGAAGGAGAGAAGCTTGGCAGGAAAATATTACAGAGGAATATGGTGGGGTATAAGGGACCGTGCTGGGGGTGGGGTGGGAGAGGTGATAAAGGTTAAGGAAGAGTCCTAAAGCCATTGAGGGCTTGGGTAAGGAGAAAAGACATCAGAGACATTTAGAGAAGGAGCTGCTTTAAGAAGGAAGACCCGATTGCTTTTATTTCAGGGATCAGGGGAAGGCAGACCAGTTTTTCTGTGGGGCAGTGTTTCCCAGCCTAGGTACTCTTGATATTTTGGGCCAGACAATTTTTTGTCCTGGGCACTGTAGGATGTGTGGCAGCATCCCTGGCCTTTACGCACTAGGTGCCAGTAGCACAACTCCCCAAGTTGTGATAACATAAATATCTCTGAACATTGCCAAATATCCCCTGAGGGCAAAATCACCCCCAGTGGAGGACACTGTTGTAGCGGAGGTTGTCTCCTCATGAGAAAAGCTGTGGGAGGAGTGGGGGAACTTGAGCTACACTTCCCAGGGGGCTCTGTGGATCTGTTTCAGGAACTTTGACTACGGATGAGAAAGGATGGAAGTTGGTAGAAAGAGGTGGCCTCCAGATGTGCCATCCTGAACTGGCCCCAGGGTGTCCAGATAGAATACCCTCCATTGTCCTCCATATCTTCAGTGAAAGCAAAATGAAATGCTAGTCACGCTGGAATATTGTGGAGCAAACAGAAAGTGTGGTTTTCAAAGTAGGGTAGAACTGAGGCCAAGAGGACCAAGGAGTCAAAATGAAAAGAGGTAGGAGAAAGAGAGACACAGAAATCACAGGCTCCGGGGACTTCCCAGGACCCAGAATCCACATTTACTTCTGTCAAGTTTACCAAAATCTCTGAGAAAAGGGAGATGATAACAATTTGGTGCCTTTAAAAAAATCTCCGCATTTAAATCAGAAACACATTTTCTTAAGCATACAAGTCATTCATTAAAATTTCTCCTAACTTTGAGATCAGTAATGATACTACTGGACAGTCCTGCTAATGAGAGAATCTAAATATTCCCAAGGATATTGAGACAGCTATACAACCTTGGGCAAGTTAGTTACTTTCTCTGGGCCTCCATTTCTTCATCTTCATTAATTCCATCTAAATGGAATTAATAATTTCCATCTCATATCCCTGCTATGAAAATTAAATAAGACATATGAAATGCCTGCCACATAGTAGCCATTAAATTATTGTCTGTGTATCTATCCATCATCTATGTATTTACCTACCTATCTATCCATCCATCTCAATTTAATTTAATTTATGTCTTGAAGAGTAAGAGATTTTAGGCAGGTATGGCACCATTAGTCCTGATGTGTGGTTTTATTGACATTATAATTCTAGAGAGTGCTTCTGGAGATGTCTATTTAAGACATTTGGCCCCCTCAATAAACAGATACCCTGGATCTCAATGATGCCCAATGTCTGTATGAAAAGTGGAAAGTCCATTGAATTACACATATATTTCAGGATTTAGATGTTTGGCAACGTACAGTAGAACCTTCATGTAATGGTTAGCATTTCCTACATTTTTCTGAGTGCTTTATGTCTGAGTTGATATACCAATATTAGCCTTGTTTCAGTCTTGCAAAATAGATTGATCTGACCTCAGAAGTTCCAAGAGACACTGAAAAAGACCAGGAATTCTAGAACTGCATCTTGGTTTGGTTTTTGCCTCCTTTTGAAAATAAGACCTCTTTGCTAAGCTGGTATTAGTTAAATATCTTCCTTTCCTTAACCACACGGATATTGTTTTTCAAAAGGTCTAAAGGGCAGTGGCCTTTGGTGCCTGGAACACTTTTAGAGTATTTAGGTAATCAATACCCTGGTTACTATTTAACCATATTTGAAAGAGAATCAAGTGAGTTCTGTGCAAATCAATGTGTATCTGGGTGAGTTTCCAACATCAGATAGATCTTACAGGTCCCAGCCTGTAGACATCTTTTACTCCAATTTCCTGAATAGATAGCTTTATTCCTTCAAGGTAATATAGTGCGGTGGCTTCTGGCTGAGATGTTTGCTGTTGTTTTCTTCATCTTGTCTTTGATGACTTGTCAGCCTGGGGTAACTGCACAGGAGAAGGTGAACCAGTAAGTGGGCCATATGTCTCTGCAAAACTTGCACGTAGGAATCACCTGCTGGGGAACTAAGACACTTTTATGTTTGCAGCAGAGGCTGTGTTAGAATGGAAAATAACCTCTTTTCATGTTATTACTACTCCTGTGGAGGAGGATGGGACAGTGAAAAGACCGTGCACTTGGAGTCAAATTGGTCTATGTGTAAATCACAGCTCTAATGCTTAGAAGCTGAATAATTCAGGGTAAATCATCTCATCGGTTTGATCCTTAGTTTCCCTAGCTGTAAAATGAGAATAATAATACCTCTTCTATAAGAGTTAATGTAGATAAAATAAGATCCTGAATATAAAATGTACTCAGCTTATAGTAGACACTTAATAAATGACAGTTCTCCTGAGTGGTGCTGAACAGTTAACTTAACCCCTACTTTCTTATCTGTAAAAGAGCATCATAAGAGTGCTGTCTCATAGTTTTGGGGGAGGATAAAATTAGATAATGTGTTCAAAATCACTGTGGGGAAGGCAAAGGACTATAGAGATGCTGGGTCATTTGATTCTAAAAATGACTTTATCTTTTGCTATGGGATAATAGAGGGAGGTGATGTAGTTTCATATGTACATTGTGTTTTACCCATTCTATTTTCTTGAGATTTCCAAGCTTGCTTCATGGGTTTTTTTTTTTTGGTATCTTAATATTAAGTATTTTGTGGAGCCTAAGCAGTCCTTTATTTCACCTTCGGGATAGCTTTAAAGCAATCCCTGTCTCCCAAACATTAAAGATTTTAAATAGAATTATTTAATTCTAATTCTTGATAGATGATGCAATTTTGAATCATTAGTGCTTTTAAATGCTAGAGCAAGTGAGAATTCCTTTAAGTAACAGTTCAGAAGGGAGGAAAGCATTTTTAAAAGCAGTTAATTTGTAACTTGTATTTAAAGGAAATACAATTTTGAAATCAGAAAATTCATCTGTAATAATTAGAAGATAAAGGCAAGAGAACTGTGTAAAGGAAATCTCCGCCGAGATATTCTTAATTATAAAAGCTTATCATTGTAATCCTTTTTGAAAATGAACAAAGAGTCTTGATGTTTGATGAACTTATCAAACAAGACAGACCAGTGAAGGGGCAAATTTCAAGTCAAGGCAAAATGGAACCAATTAAATACTTTACAAAGTGCTGAAGGAGGAAATCATGAGGTCTTTGTATCTAATGCCAGTGTGTCTGACACTGACTTTGAAAGTGAAAAACTACATGGTGAAATGATTTTATTAGGTTCAAATTCTGGCACTGACATTCACTAGCTGTCTGATCTCAGGCAAGTTATTTAATTTTTCCAAGCTTCATTTTCCTTACCTGTACAATGGGAGGAAAGTAAGAACAAAAATTAAATGCATGAAAGTACTTAGATCAATACCTGTTACCTATTACCTAGTAATCATTCAGTGAAAGCTGTCACCAGTGCTGCTGTGTGATTGTTATTGTTATTTTTTGGTATTTCCATTCCCTTGATGGTTGACAATAATCAGACAAAACAAATTTATAATATGCCAATTGGCATGGATCTTTCTGATCAGTCAGAGATTTTAAACTTTATTTTTAAGTAATAGCACTCTTTTTCCCTGCAAAATAAAATTTCACATGAACCCTAACATTGAAAACATATTATATAGTTTTACATTTTAATGGTACACATTTATTTTATAAGTTCATGTTTAACATTTGCTTATTATAAAATCTTAAAAATTTGTTGAGAAAAACATTTTAAAACAATGGTGATGGAAGGAAGTTATAATCTTCAGCCTAAAAATCAGTGGATCTCTATTACATATTTTATACAAATTTATTTTATAAGTTCATGTTTAACAGTTGCTTATTATAAAATCTTAAAAATGTGTTATTTGAGAAAAACATTTTAAAACAATGGTGATGGAAGGAAGTTATAATCTTCAGCCTCAAAATCTGTGGGTCTCTATTACATATTTTATACAAATAACACCTTTCATTATGTGTGTTGCTTAGAAGTTTTTAATTTCAAGTTTCTAATTTGCTTAGAAGTTTTAATTGCAGTTCTTTTAATGTATTGGGATTTGTTTTTTACTAAGAGTGTGATCAACCTTAGTGAATATTCCATATGCTCAAAAAAGTGCATTATTCTGTTGTTCAGTGTAGTTCCAAGTCAATTAAGTCAAGTTGGTTGTTAATGTCACTCAAGTTTTCATCTTGTTCTATTGATTACTGAGAAAAGAATGTTGCAATCTCCAACTGTATTTGTGGATTTGCCTACTTACAGTTCTATCAGTTTTTGCTCCATGTATTTTAAAGCTCTGTTATTAAATACACACACACACACACACACACACACATCTAGAGTTATTCTGACTGCTTGATAATTTACCCTTTTATTATCATGAAAGGCTTCCATTATCCCTGGCAATGGTCCTTGTTCTGCAACCTATTATGTTTATTATTAATACATATAGTTATGCTTGCTTTCTTATGATCTGTGTGTGCATGGCAAATCTTTTTCTATTATTTTATTTTAACTTATATGACTATATTTAAAAATATAATTCATGTGAACATACATAGATGAGGCTTGCTTTAGCTAGTCTAACAATCTCTGTCTTTTGATTATAGTAATTAGACCACTTATATCAAATATAATTATTGATATGCTTGGGTTTGAGTTCACCATTTTACAATTTGTTTTCTATGTGTCCCATGTCTTCCTTGTTTCTATTTTTTTCTTTTTTTGGGCCATCTTTTAGATTTATATTTTTCTAATTCCAAGGTGGTATGGTTCTGTGGGTTATAGTTTTCATCAAATTTGAAAATTTTTGCCATGATTCATTCATATATGTTTTCTGCCCCATACACTCTCATCTGTCTTTCTTATAGTCCAATTACAGAGATGCTAGCCTGCTTGATAAAGTCCCACAGGTCAGTGATGCTCTTTCTTATTTTGTTGTTGGCAGTTTATTTTCTGTTTCATTTTGGTTTCTATAACTCTATATTTATTAATTTTTTGTTCTGCAATGTTTAATCTGCTGTTAAGCCTGTCCAGTGAATTTTAAATTTCAGTTAATATAATTTTCAGCTTTAAATGTCTCATTTGGTACCTTCTACTATCTTCTACTACCCTTCTCATTATCCTCTTAATTCTCCTCAAATATTGGAGCATATTTACAATAACACTTTTAATGTTCTTGTATGCTGATTCCATTATTTCTGTTTCGTTGGTCTTTAGAATTAGGAAGGATTTAGTATCTAGCTTAATCCACTCATGTTGCAGAGCAAGAAACTGAACCTTAGAGAGAGAAGGGGAGTATTCAATAACAAGATAACTCAGATAGGCATTTATGAATACTGGCCAATTTAACCCTTATTACATTCTTCTAAGAGTGTTGATTTTACTATCCATCAATTGAAGGCCAAAATTTTCAACCCAATATTTCCATTGATGAAAAGCAGAATTCCTTAGGGGAATTTAAAAAATGTGAATGAAGACCCCAAACATAGAGGACAACTATCTAAGCTTCTAAAGTTTTTCTTTTTGCTAAGTAGGCCTATAGGCAGTTGATCCTAAAGAAGTTTCAATCATGATGTCCCTTTTTATTTTATTGCTTTTATGGACATCAGAGTATGTTTACCAAAGCATCTTGGGCCAAGGCCATGTGAATATTTTTAATAGTAGTCCAGAAGACTGAAAATTGATATGTATTCAGGAAACATGAATTTTTAATTAATGAAAACAATTGGAGTAGTGGGTGTGACTCAAAAGCGAATCATGTAATATGGAAACTGTTATTCAGGGTAACTAATCTTTAGCAATACTTCAGGTGGCATTGGGTCTGGGCTATGAAGTATAATCAATCTGGGATTAAGTCCTGGCATCACCACGTAGTGGCTATGGAAGTTGCGCCAGTTGCTTAAACTTCCTAAGCTTCATTTTTTGTTTCATCTATGAAATGGAGATAATACATATTTCTTAGAGTTCTTGTCAGGACTTTAGTAAGTTTATATAAAGTACTTATAACAGAACCTGGTACATGGTAAGCCTTTAGAAAATTATTTTTATTACCCTATTTCTCTTTTGTCAGAAATCCTTCAGAATACATCTCAGAATGCTTAAAAAATGCATAGGCTTTGGAGTCTTTGTTGGTTTGAATTCTGGCCTTGCCACTTTCTACCTACATAACCTTAAGCAAGTTATTTCAACTTCTTATGAATCTGTTTTACTCATCTATAAAATGGGAATAGTACTTCCTACCACCACAGGGTTCTTGTGAAATTTTAATGAAATAACTTAAGATTATATGAGATAATATATTCAAGGTACTGTGCTAAGCACTAGGGTACAATGGTGAGCAATACAGTCATAATCTCTGTCTTCCAGAGCTTGCAGTCTAGGAGTAGGAATAAAGTGTTAGAAGATCCATGTATATGGCACTATGTTAGCATAGGACAGGCAGGCTAAAGAAAGATATCTGGAGAGAATGAACTGAAGTGGAAAGGTTTGGCCAGATGAATGAGATATGATTAGCATTCTGTGGAGGAAATAGCATTATGCAAATACTGCAGGAGAGCCCAGTACATGCTTGGAACTTAAAGTTCTGTATGGAATTCTATGTGCATCTAGCACACAGTGGATACTTTTTTGGATTTATTTATTCATTCATTCAATAAATAAATATTACATGTATGCTAGGTGTTAGGTAATAAACTGAACAGATAATGTTTCAACACTCATAGGATTTACAGTGTAGCGATGGAGTTAGTCAATAAATATATAAAAAAAAATTATCTTAAAAATTGTGGGTGCGGTGGCTCACACCTGTAATCCTAGCACTTTGGGAGGACGAGGCAGGTGGATCACTTGAGCTCAGGGGTTCGAGACCATCCTGACCAACATGGTGAAACTCTGTCTCTACTAAAAATACAAAAAATTAGCTGGGCATGGTGGCACATGCCTGTAGTCCCAGCTGCTCGGGAGACTGAGGCACGAGAATTGCTTGAACCTGGGAGCCGGAGGCTGCAGGGAGCCGAGATCGTGCCACTGCGCTCCAGTCTGAGCAGCAGAGCAAGACTCTATCTCAAAAGAAAAAATTTTTTTTTACATTGTGATAAATACTGTGAAGGAAATAAATGGGGCCCTTTGTTAGAGGATATCAGAGCAATCTAAAGACAGGCTGATTGAGGGAATTTTCTGTAAAGATGGCATTTAAACTGAGATGTGAAGGGCGGTAGTGAGAAGCCGGGTGAAGAGCAGGGTAAAGCGGAGGGATCACCTGTGCTAAGACTCTGTGGTTGGAAGTGGCTTGTCATGTTTGAGAACTGAAGGATGGGAGCAACATGAAAGCAGAGAAATGTGCCTTAAGAAGATGTCACAAAATTGGACAGAGGCCAGATCCCAAAGAACCTTAGGCACCACAATGAGAAATTTGGAATTGAGTGTATGGGTAGTAAAACACACACAAACACAAAAACAAATATCACTGAGAGTCTTATAAAGGAAGGATGTTATCTGATTTCTCATTTGAAAAAATTTTCTTGATTGCTGTGCAGAGAATGGATTGGAGAAAGGTAAAGTAGAAGAAGGTCTTGGCCCACAGGAAGGCATAACAAGGAGCTGCTTAAAAGAGAAAATGAAGAGTTTACATGTGGAACCATTAAGTTTGCCATGTCTAAGAGGCATTTGATAGACATATCAAATGGAGAAGTTGGATAAACAAAACAGAACTACAGAGGACTAGTCTAGGTTGAAGGTCTAAATGTAGGAACATTTGCACAGATGGTGTATGAAGCCAAGGACGTGGATCTTACCTTCTTAAGGGTGAAAAAAGCAGAAAGAGAAAAAGAAGAAAGACCGGACTGCACTTTGAGGAATTCCAGTTTTTGGAGAACTGGCCAGAGGCAGGAAGAGAGTGAGGAGGAATTGTGCTGAAGAAGTCCAAGAGATGAAAGTTCTCATGAAGAAAAAAGTGGTTCACAGACTGCATCTTAGTCAGTTTTGTGTTGTTATAAAGGAATACCTGAAGCTGTGTAGTTTATAAAGGAAAGGAGTCTATTTGGCTCATGGTTGTGCAAGTTGTACAAGAAGCATGATGCCAGCATCTGCTTGGCTTCTGGTGAGAGCTTTTTTATTAAATTGACATAAACATGCTTATTGTGTTTTATTGAGCACCTATTATATGCCAGGTACTGTTCTGGGCCCTGGGGATATAAATGAGAAAGACAAAGTGCTTGCTCTCAGCTCTCATGAAGCTTCTATTCTAGAAAATGTATGCAAATATTTTATATACTTTAAGTTCTATAAAGAAAATAAATTAGGAACATCCTGGTGAGTACTTTTGTGCTGCTTCAAAACATGGCAGAGAAGGTAAAAAAGGAAGTGGGCACATTCGAAGAGGGACCAAACAGGAGGAGGAACCTTGCTTTACAACAACTCATTTCCATGGGCCCAGTGAGAATGAGTCTGTCTAGCCAGGAGAACCCACTCACTACCACAAGAGCAGCACTAAGCCTTTCCTGAGGGATCTGCCCCATGACCCAAACACCTCCCACCAGGCCCAACACTGCCACATCGGGAATCAAGTTTCAACATGAGTTTGTTTTTCTCCCCCTACTTATTACACTCATGCAATCAACATGAGTGGGGACAAATAAACCATAGCAGAGAGCAAGTAAAACAAAACTAGACAATTTTCCACTGCACTTAGCAACATGGAGGTTGCTGAAGACTGAGCACTTTCAAAGTTAAATCTAAAATACCTCTATTGTATGATGGAATCTCCATGTAACTGGATGGGACTGGCTTAAGATTATATAATTAGTGATAATCAGATTTTAATACAAGCTGAGCCAATTTATTGGGATAACCCCCTGGTAATCATCAGAGTTAGACTTTCTGACCTTCTAGCCTAGGATTGGTAGCTAATTAATTATTTTCTTTTCTAAAATGCTGAAGAGGCCACATTCTGGGTCAAGTGTTTGACTTGCGCATTGCTTATTCAAGTCTAGGTTTTAGACTCTTTGCCCAATATGCTGCCCTATTTTAAAAGGCAGATGGGAAGCATCTCACTTGTCCACAGCCCTATCCGAGTACATTCAATATATTTTTGATGAAGATGGGGTGGTTTGATGAGCATGTGTGACGTTGACAAGGTTAGAGTGATGCTAACATGTATGCCAGGCTTGTGCTCGAGATTTTACATACATGATCTCACCCCATATTCAAAATAGTCTTGCAAACGATTTTCCCTGTTTTATAGCTATAAGAAAATTGAAGTTCAATAAGTAGCAGAAATCAGATTCAAATGCATATTTGCTGGACTCTAAACCTCTTTCTTTTACATCGGTGTTTCAACTGTGTTACATAGTCTTACAGATGATGCATACAAAAAGAAATGGCCTGTGTTTCCTCACAAAATTTGGGAAATGCCAGGTTATGCAAATTAAAATGCAGAAACTCTCTGAACCTTCAATATGTTATTGAGCATTTTGAATCTCCAAGAACAATATGGTGTATGCAGTTCATCCAAATGTATTTGACCATGGAACTTTTCTCCTCTTCCTCCCCGACCCCAGTGCATATCTCAGGAACTGGTACTCTGCAGGGTACATTTTGAGAAACTCTGCAATAGCACCATATAGACTTGTGCTCATTCTACAGACTAAAAAACTAAAAGTCAGTTAAAGCAGCTTGCTCATAGTAGCCCAGCAGATGAGAGGCAAACTGAAGATTAGAAGCAAAGACTCCTGAGTCCCTATGCTCCGTATTAAATGTCTTACTGATTGAGTAGATTTTCGCCAGCTGAGAGATGCCTTAAAAAT
The DNA here is from genome assembly GCF_000001405.40 of Homo sapiens. Lineage (NCBI taxonomy): Eukaryota > Metazoa > Chordata > Mammalia > Primates > Hominidae > Homo > Homo sapiens. The sequence goes on from NC_000001.11 coordinate 56,862,801, forward strand.
ATTTTCCAAGATTTATTAGGCCATGGAATTATGAATGGCTCCTTAAGTAATTAAAAAATTTATACAGTTCTTTTGGAAAGCCATTTGGCAATATGTGCCATAAGCTCTAAAATCCCTTCAATGCAGTCATCCCACTCTGGAGGATATATCTTCAATAAATAACTTGAATACAGAAAAACTGGGGACTCAATAATCTAATTGTTTAATATAAGGGGAGTGGAACAATGTGTATTACCATAAATAGTTTATGTTTCTGCTCTATTATTAAGTGGAAGAATCAGGATATAAAATGTAATACTCAGTATGACCTCAATATGTTATGAAAATAAACAGAAGAAAATATAACTAAATATTAATGACAGTAAAATTTGGGGCAATTCTTTTCATTTATGATCTTTCTTATGTTCTCTGTAATGAGACTGTATTACTTTTATAATCATCAAAAAATGAACTACATTGAAAAATTTATTGGAATAATAAAATGTTGGTCACATTGGTATTGGCTAAAAGGTTGGAGCCCTGTAATGACTTTAATGAATGGTCCTGGTGTACTTTCTGTACTCTGGCCTGCGTGATAGCATTAGCATGTATGCCTCTGTCTAGACTTCATGTCACAAGGCTTTTAAAACTACAGCAATACACCAACTGCTCTCTGTCTAGGCTTTTGCTTCCATCCATTAGTACTGTTTCCCTCTGGTTTGACACATAATGCAGTCTCTATGGGCTTACAATGACATTATCTTGACAATTGTGTAGTGAGATGCAGAAATAATGCTGGAGTCCTTTTCTGTTCTCAAACCTTCTCCCTATACCTTCTGTCTCTCCTTCCAATTCGCCATGTTCCCCCACTTCAAACTTTTATTATTAGAACAGTCTATTAGAAAAATACGTGTGTAACCAACCCTGAGCCATTTGAATGTCAAGATACCAGGATCTAATTTAATTTAGATTATAAGAATCAGGTTCAAATAAATATCTCAACAATGTCACTGCCTATATCCCAGAAATTGGTTTTATTATTTCCCTTCCCTCCCTCTCTCACTCCCTTCCCTCCCACCCTCTCTCCCTCCCTCCCTCCTTCTCTCCCTTCCTTCCTTCCTTCCTTTCTTCCTTCCTTTTTTCCCTCCCTCTTTCCCTTCCTTTTTTCCTTTTGTAAATATTTACTGAGCACTTTCCATGGGTCTGGCCCATGATAGGTGCTGGGAACTCTGTAGCAAATATAGACAGTATCTGCATTCATAGAGCCTAGAATCTGGTAGAGAAGAAATAAATCATACAAATATTACAAGTTTGATAATTAAGAATTGAGAAAATGTGCAGAGATTGACGAAATCATATGAAGGAGGTTTTCAACCAGTCTGGATATCAGGAAATATTTCCCTAAGGAATTGATGTTTATGATGAGAATGAAAGATACATAGGAATTAACCAAAGTAAAGAGGTAGATAATTGGATTCATTCAGGGTTGGGATTTACAGTTAGGTGTGATTGAGGGAACAGTGGGGTCTAGGTGTTTAGAATATAGGTAAGATTGTAAAGTGATGAATCATGGAATCAAAACTGGTTATAAAGGTAAATAAAGAGAAGAGGGGGTCTTATTGAAAGGGAGGAAGCTTAGATGTTGAGATAATGGAGATCCCAATGAGGTTCAAGAAAAAGTGCAGTGGGAATCCCCTTAAGCATATAAGATAGAAGAACAAGAGGCTGTGGAGGCCCCAAGTAACTATTCACAGGTGATTCATGAATGAATGACTTGGAGGAGGAGTTGTTTTAGAGAGTGAGAAGGTTCAGAAGAGAAGATAATTACAGATAAGGAAAAGGAGCAACCGAGCAACCAGAGAGTTGGATGACTCGTTTATAAGGATGATGAGTCTCCCAGCATGATGACAGGAATTGATGTAGGGGGAATATTGTGAGCTGGGCAATGAAGTTTTCTTTGAAGGGATGGGAGGGCTTGTGCCTGCTAGCACCATGTTACAAATTAGAGTTTCTCAAAGTGTGTTCTTTAGACCCCAGAAAGTCCCCACCATCTTCTCAGGGGAACTGTAATTTCAAAACAGTTCTCATAATAATGGTAAGACATTATTTTCCCCTTTTACTGTGTTTACAGTCGCACTGATGGTACAGAGGCACCAATGGATAAAACTGCTAGGGCCTTGGTCAAAATCAAGGCAGTGGCACTAATCTCATAGGAAAAAATAAACAAACAAACAAAACTCCTAAGTTTTAAGTTTTACTTAAGAAAGTCCTTCTAGAAACAGTAAGAATTGTTAATTTAATTAAACCTCAATCCTTGAATAGATGGGACTTAAATATTCTATGTAACAAAATGGGAAGAACGCATAAAGAAATCATTGAGTATACACTGAGTATGATGGTTGTCTTGAGGAAAAGCAATTATTTGAACTGTAAGTTAAGGTAGCCACTTGTCTTACTACTTGGACTACTATAACAAATTACCATAGACTGGATGGTTTAAGCAGCAAGCATTTATTCTTCACAGTTCTGGAGACTGGGAAGTCCAAGATCAAGGCACTGGCAGATTCAGTGTCTGGTGAGGGCCTACTTCTTCGGTTAACAGGTGATCGTCTTCTAGCTGTGTCCTCACGTGGTGGAAGGGATGTGGGAGGTCCCTGTGATCTCTTTAATGAGGGCACTAATTCCATTCATGAGGGCTTCACCCTCGTGACTTAGTCACCTCCCAAAAGCCCCACTTCCTAATACCATCAGATTGGGGATTAGGTTTCAACATATAAATATGGGGGGACATAAACATCAGTCAGTAAGACCACTTTTTTTCCTGGAACATCATTTTTTCTTGATGAAAAAACTACCAAACTATGGTTATTTGGGCTTAGATATTTGGCATGCATTGTATAAAAAATGCAGAGACCCTATCATTTCAAGGAAAACAAATAACATTACTTGTTACTAATGACAAGATTTGAGCTTCTATGAGAAAATTAAAATTTGGGGAAACATATCCACTACCATGAACTTGACGAGATCACTGGTGATATTAACAGGTTTGATGTTTAGATATTATACAGTGAAATGCATTAATATTTGTAAGGCACATACTCAGTGAACCATTATTTTCCAAATTTCAAATGCCTGATATCATAAAAATTGTATATGGGCACAAGATCCATTCAAAGTATAAAGACCAATGGATTTTAATGTGACAGAGAACAAAAAATTCACTTATATGCTTTCAGGTTCCACATGCCACTAACATGTAAGAAATTGCCACTTGTCAAGTTTTCATGTAATACCAAAGGAGAACATCCACAGTTATTGGAAAAGGCTGTTAAAACACTCCTCCCCGTTTCAACTACATAACCATGTGAGGCTGACTTTTCTTCATAGATTTCAACCAAATCAATATATAGCAACAGATTGGATGAAGAAGCAGAAATAAGATTCTAGCTATTTTCTACTAAACCAGACATTAAAGGGATTTGCAAAAATGTACATTTATGGTAACATGTAATAGGTTTGTTATTGTAATTTTAAATAAGTTAATAAATATTTTTTAAATTTCTCAGTTTTAATTTTGAATTCTGTGAATATTGGTAGATCTAGCCCACTTACCAGCTCTTCGGAGTCTTTAGTAATTTGCTGAAATGTAAAGGTATACTGAGACCAAAAGTTTGAGAACCAGAGTTAAAGATAGACAAAATTTTCTGAACTATTCCATGGCTCCTTGTGCCGAGTTTCAACTTAGGTGTCATTATTCATCAAATTCATTACATCATTAGCATGAGATTTGAAACACTTTCTGTTCCTACACTAGGGTTATAATCATGCCATTCATCACAGCAGTGGCTGCCTGGCTCTCAGAGGCTGTGGTAATTCTAGTGTTAACAGTGTTCCCACTTTCCCAGTGGGCCAATCTGGCTTTGAAGTTGTAGCAGTGGTACTATGGGAAGAGGCTAATGTGGAAGCCAGGCAAACTTGCGGCTTGTCTCTCTTTCCCTGAGTAGGCATTTTAATTGGTGAGGGGGAAGTATAGGGTAAGAGAAGGATCGTGGGCTTGGAGATATGCTCTCTCATGTCTGTTGGCTGATTCATAAAATGAGGCAGTAGCATGATGAGGAGCAGGAAATGGGTTTTGCCATCAAACCAACTAGTTCCAATTTTGCCTCTGTCATTCCTGGGTTATGACTTCAGGGCTACTTAGCTTTTAGGAATCCCAGCTTTCTTACACTGTACATAAAATAGATCTAATAATATTTATCTCCAAGGATTGTTATAGAGATTAAATGAGATAATCCACATAATGTCCCAGCATGTAATAATGAAAATCATCTTGTAGTAAACCTTTCATAAGCATTTCAATACACTTTCAATAACCCTTTTAGGTAATGTTTTTTAATGTAGTTTTATAGATGGGAAAGCTGTAGTTCAGAGATATTAAGTAATTTACTCAAGTTTTCAAAGTCAGCAAGTGGTTAAGATTCAAACCCAATCCTCTTACCCCAGACTCCACATTCTTAACCACTGAGCTTTCTGCTACTTTGGCTCTTCAAAAATTGTTAGCCCTCTTTAATATTCTTCTCTCTAAAATTATAATAATTTGATGCATGGGGGACTGATATAGTATTAAAGGGATAATTTATATAAACCCTCTAGCACCATACACTCTCTCATTTCTGTTGGCATTTCTACATAAAGTAGGAGTACAATAAATGTTCATTCCTCATTTCTTCCAAACCATGTTTTACTGGAAGGAAAATGTGCACAGCTTTCTCATTTGCTTAAATTTTGCATCTCAAAATTGATGCATGGATCTTCCCTTTCTTTAGGAGAGTAAGACGGGCAGCTACACCCGCAGCAGTTACCTGCCAGCTGAGCAACTGGTCAGAGTGGACAGATTGCTTTCCGTGCCAGGACAAAAAGGTGAGACACTTACAACCGGTTTGGGGGCATTTCATATTTGATATGTGTATTAGGCATTCAAATGGAGATTAAGCAGTCCACTATGTCTAGGGGCCTGGGGAGAAATTGGGTCTAGAAATTGTTGTTTGAAATCCATTATACATGGATGGTGAAACTTGTTTCCGTGTCTCCTAATTTTGTTTGTAAGGTAGTGTTGAGTGAGGCTGCAAAAGATGTATGTTATGGCTCATAGGCAGAAAAGTCACTATCTGTACATGGGCACGTTTGTTTCTCTCTGAGTCATGGCAAATCTATTGCCCACTCATGAGGGTCTTCTGGAGGAAGTAATAGCTTAGAAACAAAATACAAAGCTGCCCATGAGGAGATGAGATAATCCAAGGGATATCCCAGAGTGTGTTCTTGAGAATTCCACTTTCATATATTGAAAAGACCAACACACCCAATGAAGAGAGGTGTGTTTACTTTGCCTATCTAAATGGTTTTGAATAGTTCAAAATGATCCCTAGTACCATTGACATATGAAGGGAAGAGGGATGTTGGGAGCCCTCCACTCAGGCAGAGGCGAGTATTAAAATTCTGACTTTGTTCAGAATCCCTGGCTCACAGTAATAATAAAACATAGTCAGCCAGGTGTGAGGGCTCACACCTGTAATCCAAGCACTTTGGGAGGCTGAGGCAAGAGGATTACTTGAGCCCAGAAGTTCAAGACCAGCCTGGGCAACATAGCAAGACTTAGTCTCTACAAAAAATACACACACACAGAAAATTAGCTGGGCATGACAGTGCACACCCACAGTCCCAGCTACTCAGGAGGCTGAGGCAGGAGGATCACTTGCGCCCAGGAGTTTGAGGCTGCTGTGAGCTTAGATTGTGCCACTGCACTCCAGCTTAGGTTACAGAGCCAGACCCTGTCTCATAAATAAATAAATACGTAATAAAACACAGTGTAACTTCTAGTCTGTTTTATTATTGTTTTAAAATTTCCTTCAGACTCACATGCCTGTATCAGATGCTCCCTTCCCCACTCGGCATACCACTCACTGCCTGAACCTTGTCTATTAGCACATTACCTCTGAGTTTAAGTGTTAAGATTCAGTTCTGCACTTTAGATCCAGCTTTGCCTCTTATCTGCATTGTTACTTTGGGAATATTTTTAATCATCTTTGTGCCTCAGTTTCATTATGTATAAATTGGAGTATAAAAGTACCTACTTTCTAGAATTATTGTGAGCAATACATGAGTAATGCACACAAAACCCTTCTCATGCATCTGGCTCAGAATACATGTTTAAGGAATTCCAGATGTTTTCCTTCTTTTATTTTTTCATTTTTATTTCAATAGTGTTTGGGAAACGTAGGTTTTGGTTACATGGATAAGTTCTTTCGTGGTGATTTCTGAGATTTTGGTGCTCCCATCACCTGAGCAGTGTACACTGTACCCAATGTGTAGTCTTTTATTCCCTCACCCTCCCCACCCTTCCACCCGAGTCCCCAAAGTCCATTATATTATTCCTATGCTTTTGCATCCTCATAGCTTAGCTCCCACTTATAAGTGAGAAGATGTGATACTTGGTTTTTAATTCCTGAGTTACTTCACTTACAATAATGGCCTCCATGTCCATCCAAGTTGCTGCAAAGACCATTAATTTCATTCCATTTTATGGTTGAGTAGTATTCCATGGTGTATATGTACCACATTTTCTTTATCCACTCGTTGGTTGATGGGCATTTGGGTTGTTTCCATAGTTTTGCAATTGTGAATTGTGCTGCTATAAACATGTATTACAGTCTCTTTTGTATATAATGACCTTTTTTTCCGCTTAGGTAGATACCCAGTAGTGAGATTGCTAGATTGAATGGTAGTTCTAGTTATTTAAGAAATCTCCACACTGTTTTCCATAATGGTTGTACTAGTTTATATTGCCACCAGTAGTGTAAAACTGTTCCCTTTTCACCACATCCATGTCAACATCTATTATGTTTTGATTTTTTAATTATGGCCATTCTTTCAGGAGTAAGGTGATATCTCATTACAGTTTTAATTTGTGGAATGCCAGCTGTTTTTTAATAATTATCTGTGCTTTCCTCTTCATTCTCAGTCCGATTGCCTTGAATTAATCCCTGCTTTTCTCTCACCTGAGTTCTTGCAGGGTTTGTGAATGGTCATCCTGCCTCCAGACCCACCACTCAGTTAGTGAGGTGCTCTGGGAATGTTCCTGATGAGTTATTCAAAATTGCATAGCTAGTAAGTGGCAGAAACACACACAATTTTGACCTAGTTCATTCAACATCAAAGCCTGAAATTTGTTATTCTGCCTCTCTCATCTCTGAGAAGTGCTGAAGAATCTTAGACTGTTCCTGTTTAAATGTGTCTGATCCCTACGTGCTCATTTTGCTCTGACATCCTGTATTAGTTTCTTGAGTTCACTGGAACAAATTCCCACAAACTTGGTGGCTTAAAACAACAGAAATGTATTCTCTTACAGTTCTGGAGGCCAGAAGTCTGAAATCCAGGTATCAGCAGAGCCATGCTCCCTCTTAGAGGCGCTAGAAGGGACTCTGTTACTAGGTTGGTGCAAAAGTAATTGCAGTTTTGGCATATCAAGTAACAGCAAAAACTGCAATTACTTTTGCAGCAACCTAATATTTGCCTCTTCCAGCTTTTGGTGGCATTGACAATCCTTACCTTGTGGCTGGATCACTGCAGTCTCTGCCTCCCTGGTCACGTTGCTGCCTCATCTGTGTGTCTTCTCCTCTGTGTATCTGCCTGTAATCTCTCTCTGCCTTCTTCTTACAAAGACACTGTGATGACACTTAGTGCTATCCAGACAATCCAGGGTAATATCCTCATCTCAGAAACTTTAATAATGTCTGCAATGGCCGGCTTTCCAAATAAGGTAACGTTTACAGGTTCCATAAATTAGGACTTGATATCTTTGTGTGGCCATTATTCAACCTGTTATATATCCTAAATTAAATTTTTCGTATTTATTTCAGTTTAGACAGCAGGTACCACAAGACAATGACTTGCAGTTTAAATCAGAATAGAATTATTTCCTTACTGACTCAAAAACACGTGCGTTTTTAAAGTAACCCTTAAAATAATTAATTCTGTTAATTAGGTGAAAGACCACCCTAGTTTTTTTTATTAATATGTTTCTTCTTCTCAAAATCATCCAAACAAAGATGTACATTTATGGAAGGAAACATTATCTACCAGTTAGAAAAGAAAATTATGTCTTAATGATCCCAACCACAGGCAATAGCATGGAGAAGTCCCTAAGGGAATATTGGCACCAACCTTCCTGCCACACAAATATCTTCATTATTTGATAGCAACCTAGAAAATAGGGAATCAATGGGAATGAACCTTATGGCTTGCACCATAATTCCCAGTATAGATACTATAGGAAGGATGACAATGGCAATAGTCACCATTTATTAAATAATTTCTAGGTACCAGACAATTGTGCAAATGCCTTAAAAAATTATCTTGTTTGACTTTCACAGCCAACTGTAAATGACAGACATCATCATCCACTTTGTTTAGGTCACCCATTAAGAACATGACAGAGCCTTGATTTAAAACTTGGTCAGTTGACTCCAAAAAGCTTCCGCGGCTGACCGCTCCACACTACTGCCTCCCGCTGAACCATCCAGGAGAGTAATGAGTGACATAAGTGGTCACTTCAATTCCTTTTGAAGTAGTCCAACAGCTGGATACAAGAATGATGATGACATTGATAACTACTATTATTGAGTGTATATCAGAAACCAGGCAAATTGATGATTTCTTTACATGTGTTATGATGAATCTTTGCAATGTTCTCAGACATATTTCATTTAAAAATGAGAAAACAGGATCAGAGATGTTAAGTAGTTGACCCAGTGATGCATATACAGTAGGTGGCAGAGCTGGAATTCTAACTCAGCTCAAAATGGGTTTCCCATAGTATATTTAACTTCATAAACTTGTGAAGATTAAATAAGATAAGGAATGTAAAGTGTTTGGCCAAGAGTAGGCACTCAGTACATGGTAGCCACCATAACCATTATCAAGTTGGTAGGTACAGGTGTTAAAAATCGAATATAATTTTTAGAGTAAGAAAGAAGATTGGCTGCTAATTCAAAGAAGGAGTACTCAGAGGCAAGTACCTACTGTGTCTGATTTCGAATAACATTATGTGTTATTTGTTTGGAGAAGCTCAAGCTGTTACTAAACTATATTAAATCTGTTCCTATAAGTCACCATGAAAGCACTGCAGAACAGTGGCATGTACCAGATCCCTGTTGCTTATTTAACTGTGAACTCATCACCCCATAACATGTACAACAGATATGCTAAGGTATCCTGGCACCAAGTTTCAGGCTCAAATTTGCCCTTTTGTCAAAGAAGCAAAAATGTAGTTTAGAATGACCTAACTGCAATATTCCAAGCAGCAATATTTTCTTTCTTTGGACCTTGGATAAATACCTTTACAATTCACTCCCAACCTCATTCTCAATGAAGTGGAATTATAAGCACAACATATTCATAATAAAAAGCTGTAATCAAAATAGATGTCATGTAATGGCAAACAGTCGTCTGAGTTGGAGAGCACTATGCCATGCATAATGTCCTTGTTAGATATTCCATTCTCATTATGACATTGACTGGATATCTACTCAGTGCTGGCCATGTTAAAAAGTCTGAGATGCTTTCCTTCAAATAACATGTAACATTAGTTGATGATAAAGGAAAAATACAGAAAAAAATTTAAGATAATATATCTTAATTCAAGTAGAAAATGAAGACAATAAGATCTATATGAGTTTAAAAGAAAGTCAAACCTTTAGGGTATGAATTGTGGGAAAAAGGGTGAACAGTCTTAAAAGACCTCATGGTGGAAAACAGGCTCTAAGCTATATTTTAAAGGAAGGAAAAATTTGAAAGTGAGATGAGAAGTCATTCTAAGAAGAAAAACCATGAACAAGAGTCTACAGCCAGGAATAAACATAGTATGTTTAGGAACAATGAGCAAGATATATTTGGCTGAAGTCATAGTTTCATGTAAGGAAATTATAGAAATGTATTTAATGTGGATAGCAGTTACACTTCAAAGAGTGGGAATGACTAAACACTTTGGAACAGAGGAAGTAACAGATAAACCAGTGTTCTTGGAAGGCACATCCAGAAATAAACTGACATAAAGAGAGGAAAAAAAAAAGAAAGAAAGAAAATTGGCTCTACATTTCTATGCTGATCACTCCTTTATTTGCTGTGCTGAGGGGCAAGAGTGTGGGTGGGATATTAAAATATACTGATGTTCTCCAACTGGTCATTAATTACAATCTCTTCCTACAGAGTTTACAAATCTCTTACTGCTGTTATTAACTGAAAGGCAGGACAGACCTATGGACAGGTTTGATCTTCACCTCTCCTTGCTACCTTTGCCACTTTGTTAATGAGCAGCTAAGGAGACAGAGGTGGGTAAGAAGAGAAGTGAGCTGCACTGCTCCACAACTCACCCATGGAATCACCTGGAAATACTGCACGGATAACAGTAACAATGTGAAAACCACCTCTGCTTATTGAACACCAATAATATACCAGAAACAGGGCTGGGGGCTTCTTTACACATTCTCTTACTCAGAGCTCACACAGTCCTTTCAAGGGAAAATGCCATTACACCCATTTCACACACTGGAAGACAGAAGCTCAGAAAAGGGAAGTGGCTTGCTCATGGGCAGTTGGTAAGAAAATCTGGGCCCTGAACCCAAGTCTGTCTAATCCTCATGTCCATGCTCTGTCAACTGCAGGACACAGGTGAAAGGATATTAGTCACTATAATTAGGTAAGTCATTTAGCTCACCCACCTCATTGCACAGATTTAGAAACTGAGCCACAAAGTACCAGACACTGATACTTCACACAGCAAGTAAGAAATTGATTGAGGTAGGAAACCCACTTCTCTTGCTGCTCAAATCATTGCTTTCTTACCTACATACTAACGTTCTTAAAGGAAGGGCCCGTGGACTGAGCCAGGGAGAGAGGCACCAGGAAATACAGGGCTGCACGTTTCCTTGTCGGCCACTGTGTGTTTGCTATCTGCACTGCATGTTTTGTATTATTACACATTTTATGTCCTCAACTAGGGTCTACGCTTCTTGAAGGCAGGGATAGAACCTCATGTTTCTCTGGATATCCTAGTTTTCAGCTTCCTTCTTCTACGCTAGTGCCTGACACTGTACACTATATAGAAAGCATGATTATGAAACTCTAAAGTCCCAAGATTGGCGTGCATTTTAATTCCTTCCTTCTGTCAAGTGTCTATTTATCTGCAGTCAAAGGTGGACCCAGGGACTCAGATGATGTCTTCAGAGCTCTCTTTCTCTCTCTATCTCTTGGATGGGTGCTTTCTGCATAATAGGCAAGGCATCTACAACTTGATGTCCACAGTTTCCAACAATTCCAGGAGAAAGAATCTGTCTCTTTGTAAAAGAAAATCCCCAGAGAGAACTTGATTGGATGGGGTTGAGTCATGTGCCAATCCTTGAAGCAATGATTACAACAACTAGGCAGATGTGATGCTTTGGTGAACCAGGCCTGGTTCATACCCACACATCCCTGTGACTGAGGAAGTGAGTCCTTTCCCACCTTAACTATAGGAGATATATCTCCAAAGAAAGAGGGGAATTCCAGGACCAGAAGAAATGTTGCAAAGAAAAAGCAACAGATGTCTTCTGAACGTGCCTCTTGAGTACCTGACCTTAGATCAAGTGCCAAGTGTATGAAGCCAAATAAGACATGGTCCTCTCTTCTCTACCCTCAATATGAAAATTGCTCACAGTCTGGTGGGAGAGATGGAGAACTACGTGGATGCTCAATTGCAACTTCATATGCCAAGTGCTAGTAGACAGGGAAGCGAGCAACTTGAAGAATGTTACTGAAAGATTAATAGGAATTTAACTTCTTCAAGAAGAGGGAACAGAGGTTATTCCTAGCAAGTAGGAAGACCCTAGAAATATCTTGTCCAGGCCTTTCATTTGATGCTTGGAGGCCCTATTCAACGTTCCAATCAGTGATTGTGCCACTTCTGGTGATACACCACTGTTTATGCATATTCATCCCTCAAAAGACAGCTTCACAGGCAGGTCTCAATCATTAGATAATTATTTCTTATGTTGAGCCGAAACCAGGCTGCACAAGTCTTGGTTGATTGATTGATTGGTTGACAAGAATGTGTCTTGTTCAAAATCTGGTTTAGTACCGACACCGGAGCCTCTTGCAGCCAAACAAGTTTGGGGGAACCATCTGCAGTGGTGACATCTGGGATCAAGCCAGCTGCTCCAGTTCTACAACTTGTGTAAGGCAAGCACAGTGTGGACAGGATTTCCAGTGTAAGGAGACAGGTGAGTAGCATTTCAGCAGAATAACAGCTGTGCCTGTCAAAAGTGACATGTGAAACACTTCCCCAGGGAGCTTATTAAAATGCATACTCCTGAGCCCTTCCTCTCGAGGTTGCCATTCTCTAGGTTTGGGATGGGTCCTAGGAATCTGCATTTTAAGCCAAGCCAGCAGCCCAAGTAATTTTGATTCAACTTTGTAGGAACATCTGTTGATTCATTTAGAAAAAGACAATTCATTCATTCACCCACTCATTGAACAAATATTATTGACCACATATTATGTGCCAGGAAGTATGCTATCTGCTGTTAATATAGACATGAAAAAAATAATGCACCTTACCTTGATGTACTCCTAGTCTAGAGACCTAGGAAGAGTTAATTACAACACTGTGTGATAGCCATGGGCACATGCATGGCCTAGTGGGTCTTTCTAGCAGGAGGTTCCCAAATCTGCTTTGGGCAGTCTGGGTGGGCTTTGAAATGGTATTTGAGTAGAGACTTGGGAAACAAAATGGAACTTTCTAGGAGAAAGAACATGCAAAAGCATGGGGATCAGAGACTCCCAATCAGCCCAGAATGTTTGCAGCATCAGGGCTTTTGGAAGAGAGGTAGGTGATGGGTAGGTAGGTGATGGGCAGGTAGGGTCCAGACTGTGGCATTTGGAAGAAGAGGAATGGAGAACCACTGGAGGATACTGAGCAAGGGGATTACATGGGCAGACTGGCATTTTAGAAAGATTACTGGGGGCTGCAATGTGGAGAATTAGAGAGAGAGAAACTCAGGCAATGCCCAAGCTGGGAGGCTGCAGACAGGAGCTCATTAGGCTGGAAGGAAGGCAGAGGCAGTGAGAACAGAAAGAGAATGGGACAGATGGGAGGTTTATTTCTGAGGAAGAAAGGACTTACTGATTGTGGGTGTGAGTCTGGAGGGAGAGGGGAACCCGAGGAGCAGCCACAGTCTCTTCTCTCCAGGTCGCTGCCTGAAACGCCACCTTGTGTGTAATGGAGACCAGGACTGCCTTGATGGCTCTGATGAGGACGACTGTGAAGATGTCAGGGCCATTGACGAAGACTGCAGCCAGTATGAACCAATTCCAGGATCACAGAAGGCAGCCTTGGGGTGAGGCCCTGCCTACTAGCTATTTAGGAGCAGGGAATGATTTGTCTTCAATCGTGAGCATTAGTTTTGAGGACAGAAGGGGGCCATTTTGGAGGGTTCCTCTGGAGTGCATGCTGTGAGCTGCTCTCATTGTCCCCAGAGATGGCTTGTCCAGTCCTGCCTATGTGACACTGCCCATGCTCTCCCCTCATGTCTCTGCTTGAGAGTTCTCCTCTCTTTTAGTACACCTACCCTACTGCTCATCTCCCTTCACCCCAGTGCCATTTCTAAGGCCCATTTAAGAAGCCACAGCTTCCATGAAGCCTTCCTGATGTCTCAGAAAGATAGCTCTTCTCTGATCTAAGCCGTTGCCTTTCCAATAGCCCTGTTCCCAATCTGCTTTGCACTGTAGATGCTTGCAATAACCAGGGCTAATGGTGTGACACAGTGTAAAGAAAATGGGCTCAGGGTGAGACAGAGAGGGGCTTTAACCCCCACTTTCCCATTGCTTACTTAAACCTCTCAGGGCACAGTTTCTTTATCTGTTGAGATGAAATCAGCCTTGATTCTAACTTCTCTTCATTCACCTTATGTTCAGGGTCAGTTCCTTGAATGCATCACACTCTTTCCTTCTGAGCCTTAATCAATATTCCTGGAATATTCTTTCCCGAATTCCTACCTGGGTAACTCCTCATCTAATGTTCTGCACTGAATTTTGTCTCCCCTTACCCCCACATTTATGTGTTGAAGCTCTAACTCCCAATGTGACTGAATTAGGAAATAGGGATTTTAGAGAGGTAATTAAGGTTAAATGAGGTCATAGGGTAGGACCCTAATTCAAGAGGACTGGTGGCTTTATAAGAAGACAAAGATATACCAGCGATCTCTCTCTTTCCACACATGCATAGCCAATGAGACATGTGAGGACACAGCGAAAAGGCGGCTGTCTTTGAGACAGGAAGAGAGCCTCCAGCAGAAAACAACCTTGATAACACCTTGATCTTGGACTCCTAGCCTCCAGAACCATGAGAAAATAAACTTCTGTTGTGTAGGGCACCTAGTCTATGGTATTTTGTTGTGGCAGCCCCTGCAGACTAGTACACCGAGGTACCATCTCCCCTAGGTAGTCTTTGTAACAGCCCCCTCCCCTGCTCTTGACTTTGCCTAGGTTGACTTAGTCCCCTCCCATTGCTCCCAGAGACTCCTGCAAGTCTTATTCTCACAGCTCTTACCCAATAGGCTGGGGATGTCTGTCGAGGTGTCTATCTGCCCAGGCTAGGGGCTCCTTGTCATCTCTGCTTCTCCAGTACCGGAACAGGGCTTAGCTCAGAATGACGTTCCAGTATTGTTAGTCCTCTGCCACTCTGTCTTTGCCTAGGGTCTTGTCTCCTAACTTGAATAAACTCTTTGAGGGCAGAGGTTGCTTCTGACTCAGCTTTTTCATCTCCTCAGCCCCTGTGTCAGAGCTTGTCCTATAGCCTCTCGCTGAGTGTTGGTTGAATTGAAACAAATCAATATGATCAGCTGGATCTTTACAAATAAGGAAATGAGGAGATGTAGTAACTGTCACAGAGTGACCCAGCCCTGTTGCAGCCCACCCAAGGACAAGTGGGGGTTCCATGAAATGCAGCCCTCATTCATTATGGTTAATTGCTCTGAGATCAGAGCCCACCTACTTGATGGAATTGAACTCTGTAAGTGCATGTAGATATACACATATAAAAAGATGAGAAAATTCTGTTTTCTTTCATACCAGCAGTATTAGTTTGCTGGGATTGCCATAACAAAACACCACATCCTGAGTGGCTTAAACAGCAGAAATTTACTTTCTCACAATTCTGGAGACTAGAAGTCTGAAGTCAGGGTGTCAGCAGAGTGGTTTCTTCTGAGGCCTCTCTCCCTGGCTTGTTGATGGCTGCCTTCTTCCTGTGTCTGCACATGTTCTTCCCTCGTACATATCTGTGTCCTAATTTCCCCTTCCTGTAAGAACACCACTCACATTGGATAACAGCCCACCATAATGACCTCATTGCAGCTTAATTACCCCATTAAGGACTCCGTCTCCAAATATACTCACACTCTGAGGCTTTGGGAGTTACAATTTCAACACATGAATGTTGGGGACATGTAATCCAGCCCGTAACATCAATAAAAGGGGATTCTTGTTGATTTCAAAAGTGACTATAGAGTAAACAATAGAAGTGTGAAATATTGACATGTTGAAATGAAAAATAATCCCTTCCTTATTGGCAGAACATGGATCTTCTCCCACGTGATTTAACTAGAAACATTTCAAATACGCTTTCTGAACAGTGTGCTTCACCCACACTGAATACTGAAACTGGTAAAATGGTCCTGCTCCACTCCAGCCACTGATGTTTGATGGTTCTTCTATTTATCTCAGATCTCAAAGGCCTTCCTTTCTTGCTCTTATTTTTTTTCTAATTTAAGCATTTCCCAGATTAAAATTTTTATTTATTGTTAGAGAAGTAATACATGTTTGAAATAAAAATTGACAGTTTTCTTCCATCTTCTCTTACCTGCACTCCGTCCAACAGCCCTCTCTCCCTTCCCTCCCTAGAGCTGACCCCTGTTAACAGTTTGGTGGAGATACTTCCAGATTATGTAAAAACTGCATTGACAATATGCATTATATAGAAAATATACCTATGTGTACTGGGCATTATAGACACAGGTATATTTTACATAAATGTGATCATGCTATACATATTGTCTGCAACTTTCACTTTTATACTTAATAGTAGAGTTTTAAGTTTTCCCCCAAATTTTCTATCTCTTTTTAATAAGCAGCATATTCTTCTATAACATAGTTAGCAAACTATGGCCTGAAGGCCAAATTCAGCCGGCTATTCTTACAAATAAAGTTTTATTGAAATACAGCTTTTACCCTGCGATGACAGAGTTGAGTAGTTGCAACACAGCCCTGTGACCTGCAAAGCCTAAAGCATTTACTATCTGGCTCTTTATTAAAAAAAAATTTCCAACTCCTCATCTATAGTATAATTATATAATTATTTGACTACTTCCTATTGAAAGAGAATTAGATTATTTCCCATATTTTCCTCTTACAAAAATGCTGCAATGAACATTCTTGTACACATAGTTTTGTACACATGTGTGGATATTTCTGCATAGTAGATTTCCAAAAAGTAGAACTTCTTTGACTACACCTTTCCCTTTTAACTGGGGCTTTCACAACCAGCTTTTCCAAATATATATAGGCTTTATGCTTAGAGGTTATATTATACTCTTAGGGATTACCGTTTCTTTGAGTTTTGTTCAGTCTATTAAGAGGCTGTATTTATAAGCTACAGGCAGAAACATGTTCAATGGTCAGGAAGATAGAAACTTCAGGGAAAGTAAAGGGAAGGAACCCAGATTTTACTATCAACAAAATCTAGGAAAAAATCCAGCTATGACTAGAGACAAGTTATTTAATTTTTCTGAACTTCAATTTCTGCATTTGCAAAGTTGTCGTGAGGTTGAAAGCTAAACGTCTAGTAGAGTATGTATTCAATTTACTGTAGTTATTATTACATCACTTCCACTAATATGAAGAAAGAGAAGGAGAAAGAAAGAGAAAAAGGAAGTTAACATACATTGAATTTCTACAATCTGCCAGGTGCTCTATAATTATCCACTTATTCCTTTGAAGTGGGTTTTATTCGCAGTTTATCCCCTGCTCCTTTCCTGCCTTGTGCCTTTTCACAGAGGCCATAAACAATCATGACGATCGCTATGCTACAGGTAGTCACTGCATCCCTTGGGAACACAGAGGAGGAAACAGCAGTCTTTCCAGAGCATTCAAAGAAGGCTGTTGACAGAAGGCAACATTTGAGTTGGCTCCTTAAGGTTAAATAGGAGTTTGAGAGACAAAAAACGAGCAATAACTACATTATCTGCAACATAAGAGGCTTTGATTGTCAGGTCTTAGAACTCTTAGCCAACTCTACAGTTTTTGTTCTGTTAACTTTCCCTTTTTAGAAAATTAAAGCTGTATTTCATCTGCTTGACATTATTTTACCTGAATATGGTAAAACCATCCATATCCTAAAACATGGAACCCGGGTTGATGATTTTTAAATACTCTAGAAAGGAAAGTATAGAGAAATATTTCTGGAAGAGTGTTGGGCTAGGGAAAAGTAAGTATAATTTGTTGAATGCCTAATATGTACTTTACTGCTGTTTTAGTTTCATACTCTCAGCATCACAAAAACCATGAGAGGTAGGTATTATTATGTCTATTCTTTAAATGAGGAAAATGAAATGCAGAGAGCTTCTAGACTGTGTTCAAAGTCATACAGCTAGTAAGTGGCAAAGCTGGAAATTAAACAGGAGTCTCCCTGACTTTTGAACTGTGCACCCTCCAATGTCCCATGCTGCCTCAAAGATAATGGCCTTTCTGAGGATTAGAGTCTCAACCTTAGCACTATGAATTGCATCCAATATTTCAAAGTTTTTTTTTGTAGCAGCAGAGCCCTTATACTATACTAAGAATTATACTTAATACTAACAATTGCTACAATAGCAACCTTTATTCAGTCCTTAATGTATGCTGAGCACAATTATGATTTCTTTACATGTTTCAACTCATTTAACTCTATGAGGGCAGTAGTATTTAAGAACTGCTTTTTACAAATGACTAAACCGAGGCACAGAGAGGTTAAATGGTATGCCTGAGGTCACACAGCTAGATGTGGCAGAGATGGGAAATGGGCCCAGACTGTCTGGCTGCTGCCCTTGGATTCATGATAATTGCACATATTCTTCTCTAACTTATTCAACAAATATTTAGGGCTGCTTCCCATGTGGGAATATGATTCTAGATGCTAAATAGGACTGTCTAGATGATCTGGGTAAAGGAAATCTGAAGGCTCAGGCCAGCCCATTTAGTCTCCAAGTGTTACCTAAAGTGGCCCATAAGCTTCTTGGAGGAACCCCAGGGCTCCACAGAACATAGATTGAGAAACTGTTACTTGTACCAGCTACAACATCTTTCAGAAGATGACATTATATGCTACCTTGCTTTTCTAATTCTCTCTCCTAAAAGCTGCTTTTGCTTTTGCTTTTTAATTTCCAACTTTTATTTTAAGTTCAGGGGTACATGCGCAGGATGTGCAGGTTTGTCACATAGGTAAACGTGTGCCATGGTGGTTTAATATACAGATCATCCCATCACCCAGGTATAAAACCCAGCATCCACTAGCTATTTAGAAGCTGCTTTGTTCCATGTAGGTACAATATCCTGACCCAGGAAGATGCTCAGAGTGTGTACGATGCCAGTTATTATGGGGGCCAGTGTGAGACGGTATACAATGGGGAATGGAGGGAGCTTCGATATGACTCCACCTGTGAACGTCTCTACTATGGAGATGATGAGAAATACTTTCGGAAACCCTACAACTTTCTGAAGTACCACTTTGAAGTAAGTCTGAACAGAGGGGCTCTGAGGCCACTGTGGTGTAGGTGGCAGAGAGGCAGAGGCCTATTTGTGGAGATGACTTGCTCTGGAAGCTTTTGTTTTCTATAAAGTTTGCTGGTGTCTGAAGTCTCCTTCATACCCATCCCCACACATGCTTAGTGTCGAAGGGTGCTGAGAGGCAGATCATAAATGTGGCTACCCACCTGTTAAATCTTGGCTCCATTCCAAAATCAGTAAAATAGATCTGAGGCTCTATTATCTGGGCTGCCAATCAGACAACCTATTTCTAAGTTGTGGCTCTGTTAGACTATATACAAGACTGTTAGCAGCTAACTCACTGCCCTCCTTGGGCCCAGTTTTCTAATCTGTAGAGTGTGGGGGAGGACAGGGCATAGATGAGCAGGATTCTGAGACCTGTGCTTTTGTTTCACCAAAGGCAGCTCACACTGATCATTTTCATGTCTTGGCTCTTTGTATGTGATTTTGTATGAAGCAAGGGTTCTTCTGTACAAAAATGCTTGCAAATTGCTGACGATCACTAAGACTCTCTCCATCTCTACAATTTGGTGGTCTCTTGGTCACTTGGAGCTCATGATCAGTCAAGGGCCTACTCATGGCCATTAATTTTCTTACCACTCATCCTTTGGGTGAAACATCCACACAGCGAACATCATTGAATGCTTAACATGTGTCAGATCTTCTACTTTCACACAAATTCTCCCATTTAATCCTCACAACACAATGGGATAGATATTATCATTGCCTCATTTTAGATATTAAGAAAAAGAAACACAAAGGGTTAAAGTGTCAGGATCAAACTCTACTGCAGTTGGTGGCAAAGACAAGACCCAAACCTAGATCTGTCTGAACTAAGTCCAGGCTGCACAACATTTAGAAGAAGAGATAGATTATACACTTTCTAGAGAGAGATAGTAGGATCCTAGGATTCTGAACAAAATACTGACAGAAAATAAGGCCAAGCTTATAGGGCCTGTTTTTAAGAAGTTTGCTCCCCCAACCCCACTCCAACCTCTACTCTCTATCAGGCCAATGGTAAATCAAGGTGGAAGACATAAACAACACCATGTTCCTAATCTCAAGGAAGGTCTTGGGGCTCTGTATCAGGCAAGACGGACTAAGTGCTTTGGGAACAAAGAATTCTCAAATCTCAGCAGCTGAAGCAACAATACCTTGCTTATGCTATTTGTCCACCCTAAAGTAGAAAGGAAACTGACCATCACAGACACTCAGGGACTCAAGGTAATGGAGGCTCCATTTCAACACATGCTCTCATGATTGCAGAGCAAACTACTCACAGGCTCATAAGGCTTACTTCTTTGGCTCAAACAAGGCCAAGACCATGTCTCAGTTCAAGACAGCAGAGAAATGAAATCCTGTATACCACTGCCTAAGACAATCCAAATCTGCAGGTTTCCTTTGCTTCTTTCCTCCCAGGCTCCTGCCCAGATGTGGCTTTCTGTATCTCACTATTGCAAAGACAAGCAGCCAGCCTTCTCTCCTGGAAGGATAAGCCAGCAAGAAAGAAATCCACGCTCAGAGCAATATAGCATTTGATCAGAATCATCTGCATCTGTGTGTGTGTGTGTGTGTGTGTGCAAGCACATGTGGTGTGTAAATAAGTATTTTATCAGTACCACTAAACACTAACAATGCTGTGTTTTCTATATTTTAATAAGTATCAGTCTAATGACTGGATTGCCTTATAAAAGAATTACCTACCATAATCTAAAATTTTAGATATTTTACAAAGCAAAGATTTAAGTATTAAATATGAATTGAGAAATGGCTCTATGTGCACAAAGCTAATATCTATCCTTTTTTTTTTCAGGCCCTGGCAGATACTGGAATCTCCTCAGAGTTTTATGATAATGCAAATGACCTTCTTTCCAAAGTTAAAAAAGACAAGTCTGACTCATTTGGAGTGACCATCGGCATAGGCCCAGCCGGCAGCCCTTTATTGGTGGGTGTAGGTGTATCCCACTCACAAGACACTTCATTCTTGAACGAATTAAACAAGTATAATGAGAAGGTATTCAAACATAATGTCTGTGTCTCACAGTATTCCATAATATACACTGAACACGTATTACCTTAATTGCATTAAAAAGTACAGTAGTAATTGAACCTTAATTTGCTTGTGTAATTGGAAATGTCTGATCAGTGGTAATCAGGTTTGTTTTTCTTATTACGCTTTTGCACACAGAATCATCACAAAGGAAATAAAATTGAATGATAAGACTAGGACTCTTATCACTTTGCCCCCCCCATCATCATTTTTTATGGTTACCTGGAGCATATAGGGAAATGTGTAGAATGGTAATGTTTTAAGAGAAACAGCCAGACCCTCTAAATTTCACTTGGAAGAATTGTAAAGCAAGCCTTGCTTTTCCAAAAAGATAGAAGGACTGGTATGCTAAAAAAAAAAAAAAAAAAATTTCATTTTTCCAGTAAACCTTCACCATTAAGTGCCTATTATCCTGGGGGGTCAATATATGCTTCCTTGAGGAAAGAACATTGATCTAAGCTTAGATCTAAAGATTAGTGCAAATTGTCCAGACAAAGGGAGACAAAAGTTGGCAGAAAGGTGCTCTAGGCATGGAAATCAGCATGTGCGAGGGCCTGGAGATGAGGAAGCCACACAAAAACTTGGGATTGAAAGTACTTCAGCCAGCTGAAGCACAGGGTGGGAAAGGAAAACAGAGAGTGATGAGGTTGGAGATGTAATCAGGTGGCCAGGGGAATATTTATTGAATTAATTAGAAGCTTACTAAAAATTCTCAATTGCATTAATACCAAGACTATGGATCAAGGTGGGGTTCAAAAATTATCTTGAATGATGAAAATATAGTTATAAAAATCAACTTACTCAACACACATAAATTGAGTCCTAGAGCTTTGCCAAAGAATTAGCTATTGAGCTGAAGGTAAAGTCCTATATTGTTCAAGGGTTATCTGTAGCGTGTTAATATGGACTTTTCTAAAAGCATGTGGACTCCTCTAACTTCCATCATCACTTTGAATCAAGGCTTCTATTGCCTGAAAGTAAAGCCCATAGATGGCCATCTTCCTGTAAAACCAATCCAAAATTCTTCCAGTGCTATCTCTTATTTTTTTATATAAAGATGCTGCTTTTCTTTATTACTTAGTTCAAGATTACTATTGGAATGTAAACTCCATGGGGGCAGGAGCCTATCTCATTCAAGATTATGTCCTCTGCACCTAGTGTAATGCATTCTACTATAGGCATTGTAGATCTTTGCTCAATAACTTCAATTGAATGACATTTCAGCATGTCACTAAAGATATCTTAAACACAGTTTTTAATGGATATGTAATATTAGCATAGGAGGTTTCACAATGCAGTGCTTTGATTAGCACTAGGAGAAGTGTGGGGGTGGGAATAGATTGGGAGAAGAACAGAAGGGTGAAGCACAATGAAGAAACCATTGTAGTAGCTCACCCAGGTGAGAGCTGATGAGAACTTGACCTAGGCAGGGGCAATGGGAACAGAGATGGAGGTGTGGGGGAAGTCTGGCACACATTGGTGCCTAGTATGTGCTTGTGAAATATAGTAGTACTCCAATTACATGTATTTATGTTCATATACGTGTTTATATATAAATATATATTTACATAAATATATATTTATATATATTTACATAAATATATTTATTTAAATATATATTTACATAAATATATATTTATGTAAATATATATTTATATTTATTTAAATATATATTTAAATAAATATATATTTATTTAAATATATATTTAAATATATATTTAAGTAAATATATATATATTTCCGTAAATATATATTTATTTAAATATATATTTACGTAAATACATATATATATTTCTTACAGCTACTAAAAGCTGACCTTTTGCATCCTTTCTTTTTTGTTTTTTTTTGTTTGTTTTTTTTTTTGAGGCGGAGTCTTGCTCTATTGCCAGGCTGGAGCGATCTCGGCTCACCGCAACCTCTGACTCCCTGGTTCAAGCGATTCTCCTGCCTCAGCTTCCCGAGTAGCTGGGATTACAGGCATGCACCACCATGCCCAGCTAATTTTTGTATTTTTAGTAGAGACGGGGTTTCACCATGTTAGCCAGGATGGTCTCGATCTCCTGACCTTGTGATCCTCCAGCTTCTGCCTCCCAAAATGCTGGGATTACAGGCATGAGCCACTGCACCCAGAGACCTTTTGCATTATTTCTAATGGTAAAATATATGCTCTCTTTGTTCTTTTGCTTTATTCAATGGCGGTTGCTGGCAGAAATTCATTTTCACAAGAATCTTCACAAAGGTGCAGACTGCACATTTTAAGATGAGGAAGGATGACATTATGCTGGATGAAGGAATGCTGCAGTCATTAATGGAGCTTCCAGATCAGTACAATTATGGCATGTATGCCAAGTTCATCAATGACTATGGCACCCATTACATCACATCTGGATCCATGGGTGGCATTTATGAATATATCCTGGTGATTGACAAAGCAAAAATGGAATCCCTTGGTAAGTAAAGCAGAAGCTCTATGTACACAGTAGTCAACACAGACACCAGGTCATGGTTTGAAGTTTTCTAAGCACTGACTATGAGCCATGGGTGATCTCATTTAGTTTTTAGGACAACTCTATAGGATAGCATAAGTATTATTACTCCCAAGGAACTGAGATCCAGAAGAGTGAGACTTGCTAATAAGTACCACAAACAGGATTTGAGCTCAGACTTGTCTAGCCCCCTAAAACTATATGCTTCTTATTGCATCATAGTTACTTTTATTTAAAAAAATAATTGGGGGGATTTTGTTATTTAAAATGTGAAAACCTGTTTTAAATGTAGTATTATTGGTTAATGGAACTACCACACAGTCAGTGAAGCTAGAAACTTACATTCATCTCAGACTCCTCCTTCTCCTTCACTCCGGTAGATCTCTAAGGTGCTTCAGTTCTCTCTCATTCTTCCACTCTCCTCCATCTCCACTCCTACTGAGGTATGCTGGGGTCTCATCTTTCCCTTGTTACTGCATCAGCTCCTAAATGGTCTCTGGGGGTGGGCTCACCTCTTCCAACCTATTGTCGATAATTGGATGGATCTTTCTACTTCACAGATCTGATTATATCACTTCCTTGCTTAATATCTTGAATGGCTAAGAATAAAGACTATTAGCATCGACCACATTAATGATGTTACTCCAACCTAGGAGAACGGTGGTTCTCAAAGTGTGGGCCCCAACAGTCAGCATAGCATCACCTGGGAACTTGCTGGCAATGTAAATTCTCAGGTCTCCATCCCAAATCTAACTAAATCAAAAACTGGGAATGGGTCCAGCTGTCTGTGTTTTAACATGTTCACCAGGTGATTCTGATGCTACTACAGTTTGAGAACCACTGACCTGTTCAATGAGTGAGAGGAAGGATAAGAGATCTATCCATATTGCAAAGCCAAGTTCAAATTCCCAGCTTTAAGAAGTTTCCTTGACTGCATCATCCCAGGCTGGCTACTCCTTTTCTTCAACACATACATAAAATTCCACACTAGGTAGTCTTTAAAAAACAATTTTCCAGTAATGGGATTGCTGGGTCAAGTGGTACTTCTGGTTCTAGATCCTTGAGGAATTGACACACTATTTTCCACAATGGCTAAACTAATGTACACTCCCACCAACGGGGTAAAAGCATTCCTGTTTCTCCACATCCTCTCCAGCATTTGTTGTTTCCTGACTTTTTAATGATTACCATTGTAACTGGCATGAGATGGTATCTCATTGTGGTTTTGATTTGCATTTCTCTAATGACCAGTGATGATGAGCTTTTTTTCATATGCTTGTTGGCCACATAAATGTCTTCTTTTGAGAAATGTCTGTTCATATCCTTTGCTCACTTTTTGATGGAATTGCTTTATTCTTGTAAATTTGTTTAATTTCCTTGCAGATTCTGGATATTAGCCCTTTGTCAGATGGATAGATTGCAAAATTTTTCTCCCATCCAAAGGATTATAAATTATTCTACTATAAAGACAGATGCACATGTAGGTTTACTGCAGCAGCATTCACAATAACAAAGCCTTGTAACCAAATCAAATGTCCCTCAATAATAGACTGGATAAAGAAAATGTGGCACATATACACCACGGAATACTATGCAGCCACAAAAAAGGATGAGTTCATGTCCTTTGCAGGGACATGGGTGAAACTGGAAACCATCATTCTCAGCAAACTAACACAGGAACAGAAAACCAAACACCACAGGTTCTCACTCATAAGTGGGAGTTGAACAATGAGAACACATGAATACAGGAAGGAGAATATCACACACCAGGGCCTGTCGGGGATGGGGGGCTAGGGGAGGGATAGCATTAGGAGAAATACCTAATGTAGATGACGGGTTGATGGATGCAGCAAACCACCATGGCATGGGTATACCTACGTAACAAACCTGCACATTCTGCACATGTATCCCAGAACTTAAAGTATATAAAAAAAATTTCCAAATGTTAGTATTATCTTCCTTATCCAGATAGCAAGATATTTGAAAAAAGTATCATGCCTGCCACTTTTCTCTCTTTAACACTCAACACAGGGGTTAATACATAGTGTTCAAAACAAGACAGGAAGTTCGAGATGAAGCATTAATTTAGATTCCTGGCTAGAGTCATTCATTAATTCATCCGTCTACATATTCATTTAAAAAAAATTCAAATGCTCTAATGAGTATACATTATGTGTTTGTGCTAGGGATATGATGGTGAACAAATCTAAATATGGTTCCTACCCTCTTGCATTACAGTATTTTTCAAATAACATGTTGTAAGCCAATTGTAGTACTCAAAATCAATGTATATGGATCACAAGAAAAATTTTGAACAACAACAAAGGACAGAATAGAAAATATCATAGTGGATTATAGGCACTAAAGATAAATTATTACTTCAATAAATCTTTTCCAGTTAAATAAAAACATGCATATTTGTATCGTGTCATGATGCAAAATAAGTAGCTTACAATGGATGTAAAAAATGTAAAATGTAAAAAAAGCATTTAAAAAACTTTACTCAAGTGGGTCTTTTAAGAATCATTCAAAAACATGAGGAAGGAAAAAAGAGTTAACATTTGTTGAGCACCTACTAAGTTTCGGGGGCTATTGCACATATTCTCATTTAATTTTCTTGACACCATTTAGAGATCGGTGTTGTCCAAGTTTTAGCTACATAAACGCTGTGGCTCATTAGAGAGGCTAATTACTTAGTCCAGGCCTGCCAGAATCTGGGGTCAGAGCCCTGGACCTCTAGTCTTCCACCATGTGGTTGTGGTATAGCCTTTCATTTGGGCTCCCGTCTTTGGGGCTGGATTACTAATTAATTGCCTGGGGTATCTGGTGGCCCCTCCTCTTTAAAATCTGTGAGGCTGAAATGGGCTTCCAATGTGGTTAATATTCAAAAGGAGCCCACCGACAAATTGTCCCAGGGATAATTACCTCAGCTCTGTTTATAGAAAACCATATGTCGATAATAGCACAATTTGCTATTTGTGAAGAGCTGATTTTCTATAAATCCGGAAAGTTAGTGTTGCTTTTCTATAAATATGGAAATGTGCTAATCATCACCTCATCTGCTGGAGACCGCTAATAAATCAGAATGTCATTTACATATTAACCTACAAAGAACAAAAATATCTACCTTCTTTCCTTTTGACAAACAGAATCACACACACCTTTTCTCCATTTTGATGTTTGCTATATTGGGCTGGTTCAAAAGTAATTGAAGTTTTTGCCATTAAAAACCACAACTTTTGTATCAATCTAATAGCTTTCTCTCTGTCTTATTCTCTTCCCCTCGGTCTCATTCCGTTTCTTTCTAGGTACCTTTCTCTCTCTCTCCCTTTTCTCTTTCCTCTTTGTCACTGTCTTTTTCTCTCTCTATGTATCTTTGATCTATATGCTATTAATTTATATTCTATTAAGTGGCTGTTTCTAAGAGACATCCTGTGTGGTGAACATTCATGTCTGCAAAGGACTGAGCTTGGCATGGAATGATTTAAGTGAACATACTCACTGGTTTGCTCTGGGGGAATCTTTTGTCCTTGGGTTTGCTCAGATCCTCTCTGGGTTCGTTCCAGAGGATGCACGAGGCTGTTTTCTTCTAATGTGCCCTTTAGATCACATGCTTCTCCCCCAAAGACAGCATGAAACCATGCATCAAAAATCAAGGGAAGTCTTGGATGTTAGGGAGGTGACGTTAGACTTCAATGAGATCCTAACATTTCCTCAAGGGCTGTGACTGACAGCTTTCTACCTTCCGCAGGTATCAGTACGGTTTGGGGCTTAAATTTCTAGATTTAGATTTTTTTCCCCTCCTTCATTCCTTCTTTGGAGCTGTCATTATTTGTCTTTGTATCAAGGTATACAAAAGAGAAATAATGTATTTCGCATTCTGACTTCTCTGGTTACAAAGCTGCCAATATATGTTGGACAGGTCAAGTACTTCAATGCCATTGTTCTGTTCAGCTGGATATTCCTGGCCTCCTTTGCACATGCTGTTCTCTCGTCTCCCAATGCTCTCTTCCCTGTCTTGCCAACCTGACAAACTTCAGCTCATCCTTCTGAACCTTGTAGGGGCATCCCCACCTCTGTGAAACCCGCTCTGATATTGCTCCACCCCTTCTCCCATAGTTTCATCTGTTTATACATTCATTCATTCAACCATGTCCACATGAGTATCACATGTGAAAAGAACAAAATCAGTATGGTCACTGTTCTTGCAAAGCTTACGATCCAGTGGAGGAAACAAAATAAACAGCCAAAGTCCAAATATCATACTTGGTCCTCTTTTACTTCCTGGCCCCATCAGCGAGATATATTGACTTTACTTCTAAAGCATATGCATCACCTGTTCTCCCTCTATTACTGTCTCACTTGTCCAAGCCACCATTGTCTCTCACCTGGATACTGCAAGAGTATGGTGGTCTCTTATTCTCTTTCTTTGTTGTTGTTGTTGTTGCAGGTGTTGTCATCACTGTTGTTCCTGTAACTCTCTGGCACTCCAAGCTTACTATAGTCTAGAGTCTTTGTATTAGCCGTCTTCTTTGCCGGAACCACCCTTTCCTCTGATGTGTGTATAGCAGTATTCTTATCATTTGGGCCTCCTTAAGCATCACCTTTTCAGAGAGACCTTTCCTGACCATGTAGTCAAGTTTCTGTTTGTTATATCACCCTATTTTAATTCTCAGCAAATCAGTAGCCCCCATACTCATAGATTTATTTGTTTATTGTCAATCTCCTGTTTCTAGAATGTTCATTCCAATCATTTTTGTTTATTACTGCATATTCATTTCCTAGAATATAGTAGGGACTTAATAACTTGTGAATTAATTGATCAATATATAATCGCGAATTGTGATAAAAGCCATTTAGAAAATGAACAAGTTGTAAAAACAGAGAGTAACTTCAGGGGGTGAGGGAAGATATTCACTTAGTTTGGGATGATCTGGGAATGTCTGTTTGAGGAAGTGAAATCCAAACTGAGATGAGATCCAAAGGATAAGGAGATGCCAAAGACAAGGGTGAAGGTGCTCTGGGTGAGTGGACAGCTTGTACAAAGGCCCTGTCTGAGGAAAGAGCATGGTGTGTTTGTGAAGGGGAAGAAGGCATGTGTGGCAGAAGCCTCGGAATAGGGGAATAATAGCAGAAACTGAGGTTGGAAGAAGCCAAGAGGTGTCAGAGGGTCTTACTGGCCGTAGTAAGAAGTATGGACTGTATCTGTGGTGGCAGAGAAACCACTGCAGGGTCATCAACAGGGCAGTGCTTGGTCTAATCAACGGGTCAGCAGACCATTCTATTGCCATGTAGAACACAGATTAGAGGAGCAGGAGTGGACTCAGGAAGAACAATTAGGGGCATTGCTGATGTCCAGGTGAGGAATAAAGAATGGACATGAAAGAATATGATAGATTTGGGATGTATTTTGAAAGTAGAAATTAAGGAATTTATAGATAGACTGGGTGTGGATTGTGAGGTGTCAATTACTCCTTTCTCTAAATTGTATTTTTATCATAGACACACATAAGTGTGTGTGCATGCACACATACACACATTGAGGTGAGAAGGACAGGATGTGTTTGCCTGAAGGTGCCAGCTTCATGGTAAAGACATCCCGCAGGCATTTGGAAATATGGTAGGGATTCTGGGGGCAAAGAAGGGACTCTAAATATACATACATATTTAAGTGCATATTATAATAATTGCAATTATATATTTGTCTCTTCTGCAGACTATGAACTTTGATGTACAAGTCCTAGGCCTATTGTCCTTGGGGTATTTTTTGTATCTAGCACAAGGCTGGGCCCACAGTAGATGCACCACGAATACTCATTGAGCTGCATTCTCCTTGCTTCTTCTACTCCTGCAACTCTTACCATCATGTGAATGACCTCCACATTTCCATCTAGAGTCTTCTTTCTTCTCCAGAATCCCTACCCATATTTTCATATGCCTGTGAACATCTCCACCAGGAAGCTGGCACCTCCAGGAATAACATTCATGTCCTTCTCACCCTAAACCCTTCAAGCGTTTCTTCCTGAATTCTTTCTCTATAGAGACACCACCATCCTCCCAGTTTACTTGACATAGAGAGGTGGAAAAATAATTGACTATTTATTATGTGCTAAGCTCCATACCAAGACTCCTCACCTAAGATTGACAATGATCCTGTGAGGGAGGCATGGTTTCCTCATTTTTACAGATGAAGGAAACAAGGCAAAAAAGTCATATCACTAGTAAATGAAAAATATACAAAGTGAGTTAAAATCCAGGGTTCTTTCTTTTTCATTTCAGCCGCCTTTACTGGGACTCACAGCCTGGGAAAAATTCTGTCTCTCCCCTCTCTCCCCCTACATATCTCATTAGTCACCTCCTCCGTATCCACAATCCATCCCTTTCTCTCTATTCCCGATTCTACTGATGACCATTCTATGCTATTTTCTCTGCAGGTTCCCTCCAGCCAAGCAGACATGCAGAATGAGAAATTTATCAGAGGTTAGATGGATGTTTCATAAATGCCTTTGGAACAAAGTTGGTGGTGGTCTGCTCCAGACCCCTTCTGTGGCTCATGTAGATAGGACCTGATACATTTGTTTCAGCTTTTGTGCCCTGGGTCCCTCAAAATGCAACATGAAGTAGAATGCTTCCTACCAGTTAAAGAATCTCAGGGAGTCTGATGGGACACCTCTATCAGGGATGCTGTAATAGAAATCCTGCATAGAATAGAAAGTTAAACTGCTGTGATTCTTGGCCTTATTGAAAGGGCTTTGCAAAGACCTCACAGAAAATGACTTATGTTGATGATTTGCTCACAAAAACAGCCGTAGCCATTCTGCCACCATATCAAAGACAGTAGGCCCCATCAAAGATGGCAGGCAGTGTGATAGTGGAAAAAATTATTTTCCCTGAGATATCTTTTTTTTTAATCTAGGCTCTAACATTCAGAAGCTGGTATGTCACATTTCTGAGTCTCAGTTTTTCCATGACTAAGGTAGAGATTGTCATAACTACTTTAAAAGTCTGTTGTGAGAATTAACCAAGATAGTCATGAAAAGCACTGTGATACCTTAAATACTGTCCAAGCAGCACTTACTATTATGGATTATAATTTCAGGTGGAGTCAGTAAGTACTAAAGCCATTTTGATCAAGCTCTGTGAAATTAAGAAACATGCCAGTGACATGGTAGCAAGAAGTCCACACTTTGAAGTCAGATACATCTGGGTGGGGCTCTTGGTTCTATTATTTAGTAGCTGTATGACTTTGATTGAGGAACAACACTTAATTTCTCTGATCCTCAGTTTCTTCAAGATCCAAATAAGAATGATAACAAGGGCTTGTTTGGTTGAAAATAATTCTAAGTGCATGTTGCATGATAAGTGTTCAATAGATATGTATTCCCTTTAGTGAAGAATATGGATATAGCACAGTGGTTGGAAACATGGACCCTGCCACTTACTAACTGTGTAATCATGGGCAGATAATTTAATCATCTTAAGTTTCAATTTCCTCACCTGCAAGCTGGAAATACTGTCATCTGCCTCATAGAGTGGTTGGTTGTGAAGAATAAGTGAACTTATTTTGTACCCACATTCCAATAAGCACTCAATAAATTTCAATTGCTGAAGTAGGTTCTGAGTCAGATTGCCTGATTCAAGTCCTATCTCCACCCTTTATCAGTCATGTGACCCACAGACAAATTAGTTTACCTCACTGTACCTCAGTTTCCTCTTCTAAATGAGTCAATGAGAGTACATACTTCATAGGGTTGTTGTAACCTTGAGGTGAAACAATCTTTGTGAGCATGTGGCATAGTGCCTGACACAGAGTAAGAGTTCAAAAATGTTACCTATTATTGCTGTACAGTGTAGGTGTTATTATTACCACATTTTTATTATTCTCAAATTACAGTTATCAACTCTGGAATGTTAACTGTTCTCTCATCTGTAAAGTGGGGATAAGAGGAAGATCCATCTCCCAGAGTTCTGCAAACACCCAGCTCTGAAACATTGCTCAACTGGGAGGGAAATCATTATCATGATGTCCAGCCTGCAGTGTCTGGTATATTTGCTGTGGACTTGGAGCCTCAGCAATCATGCCTCCTCCTCCACCTGCCCATTTCTTTGATCAAGGTCATTCATTTCTGTCTCCAGAGCTTCATCCAGTTTTGGAGGGACCACTCTTCCCATTTATCAAGGTCACTTTGAACTCTCATCACTATCTTTCAAAGTGTTAACAACTCTGCTCAAATCAGTGTGTGCTTTCCATCATCCCTGGCCCTGATGGATACCAGATAACAGTGACCCTGGGAAAGACCCTTCCAGCAAGAGTTCAGTACATCCAACCTATTATTGATCATCTTATTCCAGTCAGGGCTTGTGGACCAGCCAGTCTACCACCTAACACACAATGTCTAAAAAGCTACAGGGACAGAAGTTAAAACCTCACCAAAGTTAATGCCAATTATAGCTCTACATCCTCTTCCTCCTCCCTCCCTGCCTTCCTGTATTTCATTCAGTCCTCTAGCCTTTCCCTCGACAAACATTTATGAAGTACACATAACATGGGAAACACTGTCTAGATACCAAGATGCTTAATACATTGTCCCTCTCATCAGGGGGCTCATAGAAAGTAAGGGGGTTTCTCTTTGTCATAATCATCAGATTATGGTCAGGGATAATTTACTCTGTGGACAGCCAAATTGGTTACCACCCAAAGTGAACTAGCAATTTATTTTCTTATTCACTATTTTGTTTTAATACAATGTTTTTGCGTATAATAACATCTACTATTTGTAGAGCATAACACATCTGGCATTCAAATTGATCCTCATAATAACTTTATGAGGAATTATATTGTTATTTTCCCCAGTTTTATAGAAAGAAAGTTGAAATCCAAAGAGGTTAAGTAAATGGCTCAGTGTGACTCACTTAGTATTGAACCTAGGTCTTCTGATTTAGATTTTGTATATCTTCCAAGTACTCATCCCTTTTTCCATACATTCTGTCATTCATTCTGATACTATATGTGAGAGGCTTAGACTTTAGCAGTGGTGGTAAGTCAGCCAAGATTTACTGAGTATTCACTGTGTGGTAGACATTAGGGTAAACACCTTAAATGCACCATCTCATTTAATTCTCAGGAGAGACTTGTGAAGAGGATACTATTATATAATCTCCAATTCACAAAAGAAGAACTGAGACTCAGTGATTTTCTGTTAAATAGCTTGCCCAAGGTCACATAGCTATTACTTGGTGAAGTCAAACTCAAGAACCTGTAATGTTAAGCAAGGTGCTATAATGTCTCAAGGATGCCTTAACCTAGGATTTTTCAAACTTCAGACCATAACCCATTAGTAGATTGTAAAAGAAATTCAGTGGGTCATGATCAGCATTTAAAAAATAAAATGTAATAGAACACAAAGTATCAAAGTATGTCACACAAAGTGTAGTTAAGTATTTAAACTTTTAAGCCAAGCACAGTGGCTCCTTCTTGTAATCCTAGCATTTTTGGAGGCCAAGTCTGGAGGATCATTTGAGCCCAGGAGTTTGAGACCAGCCTGGGCAACATAGGGAGACCATATCTCTATAAAAATTAAACAAACAAACAAAAAACTAGCCAGGCATGGTACATGTGCCTGTAGTCCCGGCTACTTGGGAGGATGAGGTGGGAGGATCACTTGAGCCTGGGAGGTCGAGGTTGCAGTGAGCCAAGATCACACCATTGCACTGCAGCCTGGATAACAGAGAGAGGCCCTGTCTCAAAAAGAAAAGAAACTTCTTTTAAATGAATGTGTGTAGACTGATCATGATGTAAAATGTATTTCTTACTTTGAGAGTGGTCAAGAAAGTATTGAAAACACAGTCTTAACTCAGTGTGCTCTACTAACTATAAAAACATATTTAATTACTTTAAATAAAGGAAAAATCATCAATAGCCCTAAGGGAGGCATTGGGAAGTGTATTAGTCAGGTTCTCCAGACAAACAGAACTAATAGAATACCTGTATCTGTCTCTATTATTTATCTTTATATAAAATGTATATATAATATAGAGATTTATTACAATGAATTGGTTCATGTGATATGGAGTCTGACAAGTCCCAAGATCTGCAGTCGGCAAGCTGGACACCCAGGAGGGCTGATGCTTTCGTTTCAGTCCAAGTCTGAAGGCCCGAGAACCTGGGCAGCCAGTGATGTATTTCCAGTCTGAAGGCCAGCAGGCTTGAGACCCTGGAAGAGTTGACATTTCCATTCAACATTTCCTGTCCAAGGGCAGGAAATGAAAGCCAATGTTCCAGGTTGAAGAAAGGAAGACTCTTCTCTTATTCAGAGGAAGGTCAGTCTTTTTGTTCTAGTCAGTCCTTCGACTGATTGCATGAGGCCCATGCACATTAGAAAGGGCAGTTTACTTTATTAAGTCTAGCACTTTAAATGTTTATCTCACCCAGAAACACCCAGAATAATGTTTGATCAAATACCTAGGCATTCCACGGCCCAGTCAACTTGACATATGAAATTAACCATCATAGGAAGATAGACATGTGGGAAAGCTGGAAGCAGATGTCAATAACAACTGTGGAGCTAGGTCTGGAAAGTCTCATGTAATCAAGTGCTTCCAAGAGTGTATCTCAGTGGAAATAGAGGAATAAGCATCACTGGGTTCTAACTCTGTGGCAGGTGGCACGCTGAGCCCTTTCATACACATCATCTTATCCAAGCCTTGTGGCAACCCTTCAAGCTCTATTTTATGGCTGTCCTCATTTCACAGATGAGGACCACCAGGCACTGAAAGGCAAGATGACATGTCCAAGGTGACACAGCTGGTCAGAGGCAGGGCGAGGTTTGAAACCAGCTTTCTAATTCCAAGTGCAGTGTTTCTTGCAGTAAACCTAGATATTTTATTTCATTTATTTTCCTTTCTAAGAACATCAAACTGTTGTGATAGCTTTGAAAGTGAGTAAATTGGGTTTTAAAAATAATTAAGGGAGTATTATTTTTATATCTATTTCTAAATGTAATGTTGAGTCAGTTTGACCCATTGATTGGGAATTGTAACTGGGAGAATTGTTAATGTTTAAACTGAAAAGCATGAGATTGTTCTGAAACTTAAGTACAGGCACAGAGCCAGGAACAAGCAGAGTGTGCTGGCTGGTGACACTCAAAGAGGTGAACCTCAGAGACTTGCATGTCGGAAGAAGTGTCTAAGCCAGGGATGGCAAGTGGTCTTAATAGCAAATGCTACCTAGACTGCTGAGTTGAAGATTGGAACACAAGATGCGGGCTCAGCCAGAAAGTGCTATCATCGATTAGTGATGTCTGCCAGAGGCTGGGGACTGAGGGCAACAGGGCTCTTGGGCTGTGTATTTACTATACAGTTATTAAAATAAGACAAAGGCAGCCCAGATGATTAAGCCATGTGAGGAGAGTGATTGGGGTGGGAAAGACATTTAATCAAAGTCCCTTAAATTACCATCACATTTATATATCATGGCTGGTTGTTTGATTATAACTCCCTTTCAGGAAGATTCTGAGTAGAGCATTTACCCTTGTTGCACAAAGTTGGAAACAGGAAACAATCTCAGGGGAAAAACCGTATTCGTAATCTAATCTCCATTCATCCATTCATCCACTCATTCAGTAAATGCTCACTGAGCACCCGTGATTTCTGGGAACACAGGGGTGAGACACACAGAGCCCTTCCCTGGAGAAATGTGCAGTCAGTTGGGTGCCAAGAATAACATAATGTGATAAATGTTTAAATAGAAACAAATACAGTAGAAGCACAAAGGAGGGAGCCACAACTTTTTCTGCCCCTCCCACTTGCTAGACCCTAAAGACATTCAAAACTCATCTTCCAAAATTACTAGGAGTAGAAGTTTACCTGGAAGAGAAGGGAGTTGCATGGGAATGGTTGGGGCAGCAAGTAGGTAAGGATGAGTAAAAGGAGATGAATGTCCAGATTCACTCAAAGGTTGGACTCGGTTTTGGAAGGGCTTGCTGCTGAGGCCAGGGCATAAATGAGAACAATCTTGGCTGGATTATGCCAGGAATAGTGATGATAACAGTGGCTAGAGTCAGTGTTGACCTCTCAGAAACCACAGAGAGGATGGCAAGCTGCAGGAATCATGCAAGGTGAACACTGAAAGCAAGAGAGCCTCTGCGTCTGGAAAAGAAGGCCAGCATTTCAGTGAGCATGCACAGACCTCCAGCTCATTGTTCACCATTGGGGTGCACTATACTGAGCAACGTACTGGTCCCTGGACTTACCATACTCTTTCTCCTTGATTTGCATATGCTATTTCTTCTACCTGGAATTTTGCACCTCTCCCTCTGCCCTTCCTTATTCACCTGGTTTATGCTTATTCATCCTCAGTTCTCTGCTTAGCTCAAATAGGACTCTTCCAGGCAGTCTTTCTGTCTCCTCAGTTCTGGGTTGGAAGCCTGTTTTAGGTGCTTCAGTGTACTCAGGACTTAGATCTGAGTATCACACTATTGCAGCTGCTTGTGTCCAGTGTGCATCCTGTTAATGTTGCATCCCAGAGTCTTGCCCATTGATTGAGCATGGCCCACAGCAGAGACTCAGCGTCTTTCTAGCTGGGGTGGTTCCAAATCTGAGCCCATGTATGCTGGGCAGCCTCCAGAGCTTTCCTAACACTGCAGAGTCAGGGGTGGTATCCTAAAGTTCTGAACTGAATTGGACAATAAGGAGGGTAAGGTGGGCAGGAATCTTATTGTAAAAGGTCCTATGTTCATGGCTAAAGGCTCTGGGACAGCCCAGCAGGTCTTTTTATTTATTTATTTATTTTTGCTCCTGCTAACCAACCAGTCACCCGAACAGACAGTCACTAGATTCTAACAAGCTCCAGGCTTTATCCCCAGTTACCATGACAACCAGTCTTCACGGTGATGGATGGTATTGATTGACTGACAGACTCCTAGTTTCTTGGCTCTGTCCTTACTCCCCTTAAGTCATCTGCATATACATGGAACTGAGACTCTCAGCACCATCCTTCTGATTTTGTCTTGATTTTGAATTTCCACCTCTAATATCACTGAGAACAGCTTCATACTTAAAGGAGAAAAGCTGAGATGGTGTCAACATTCTTCCCAGAGCCATCCTTAGCTCTCTTTCCCATAGGCGGTATAATATGGCATACAGAACGTGGTCTTTGGACACAGGCCTTGGTTCAATCCCAGTTCTGTTATTTACTTAGTGTATAACCTGGGCAAGTGACAAGCTATCTAAGTTAAGTTTAAACTATTTCAACCTACTCCTTTCTAAAATGGGACTGATCATTCCTATTGTGGCATGATGTGTGAACACTGAGTGAGCTAACACATGGAATATCTCCACCCAGTACATAATAGTGCCTATGAAGTCACCGGGTGCCCTTGTCCTCCCCACTCGCTCCTGGGCTAACCACTTATACTGCAGAAATGCCCATTAAGAAAACCTGATTTTACAAACTCCTCAGCCTCCCTCTTTTTCTAACTTTTCAGATTCCAAATCAGGAGCCAAAAGCCTCAGTGTAGGCTGCAGCATTTCTGGCAACAGCAGTAATAGCAACACTTGACTGTGATTGCTAGCTCTGAACCAGGCACTGTCCAGAGCACATTACATGGCATGGATTAACTCATTCAACACTCACAACAACCCTGGGAGGTAGACAGTATTAAAATCCCCATCTTACAGATGGGAAAACTGGGGCAAGAGAGGTTAAACAATTTGCCCACATAGTCATTGGACAGGGGTGGCATTCCAGCTCAGGTAGTCTCTGTTTCAGAATTTGGCCTTCATCTACGCTGTCTCTTGTCATGGCTGAAATTATGGAGAAGAGTCAGAGCCTCTGAAGAACCCTTATCAAGTAGGAGGAAGACATGGGACTGTAGTCAACATTGCCTCCTTCTTCTGCCTAGCTTCCTTTCTCTAAGCTTCTTTGTAGAATGAGGTAGTCAGGGAATGAGGAGTTGGAAGGCTCCTTTCAGGACTACCATTGGCTACACACCATGCATGATGAATGTTCCTCTGCAGAATAACAGTAGCATGATGAAATGGAGCATCCATTGTGTTTGAGTATGGCATATCTTGCTTCAAGACCTGATTCTTGGGCCTGTTAGTCCTGGGTGACTTTGGCAAGTTACCTAACAATAAAAGCTAGTATTTATTGAAGACCTAATTGTGCCAGACACGTTTTAGGAATTCACTTATAGAAACAATTATCATTCCCGTTTTAAAGATTGGGAGTATGAGGCAGAAAGCCATTAAATGAGTTACTCAAGTCACTACCAGAGAAGGTGAATGGTAGGACTCTGACCCCAGAGGTTACACTCTTAACCACCACAATTCCTGCTTTTTCCAATCTTAGCCTGTAAGATGGGTAAATTCTCCTTGTCCCAGAATATTGTTCAGAGTCTCCAATGAGATAATGCAGCTGAAAGTGCTTTATAAAATATAGCATATTAATCTAGCATGAGATATTACAAAACTGTGATTTGCATCTTCAATTAAAGAAAGACCTATGACTCCTAGAACGTTTTAGAGGCATTGTCTATATAGGCTAAAGTCAGCCAATCCCCAAGCCCTCCTGGGGGGCTTGGCACATGCCAGGCTCTGTGCAGAGATTTGCAAACCCGAGAGATGACTTAGAAGCTTGTAGTCTTATAGGAAGAACAGACCAAGAAATTGACAATTACTAGAGTGAGCTAAATACTATGCTGGAGAGAAGCACAGGGATACACTGGAACATAGACATAGGGCCCTTGGGGATTAAGAAAAGGCTGTCTGGAGCTCAGTGGGAGAAGCTCAATGAAAGAGATAAAGGGACTTTCTAGCACCTGCAAAGGCACTGAGGTACTCATTTTATTCTCAGGTGTTTTGGAAGAAGTGTGAGTTTTAAAGGATAAACAGAAACACAAAGGGGACAGGTGAGTTAGCTAACACCTCCCAACTAGCCCAGCCACACACTCCAATCATCTTTTCCAATGTGATGATAGAAAATAGACTATTAGATTCTCTTTCCCATTCTGAGGCTGTCTTTGGGGGCAACCAACATAGCAAAGCAATGTAGCACATAAATCACAGCAACATGAATGGTATTTGTTTTTTGCAAAGAGATAATGAACTACACCTGCTGTTTTCCACCTAATGCTTTTAATCTGAGGAATGACAGACTTGCAGTGTTCTGGCACCTTGGAAATCAAGCTGCCTGGTTCTGCCTGAGAGCCACAGACATGCAGAAGCTCCATGGAGGTGTGAGGGTGGCTCTCCCACCTGCGCCACAACCAAGACCATGTGGGAAACAAGTAGAAGACATGGTGGCCAGACTCATATCCTTTGGGCTCCTAGCCTGTCAAGTAGCCACAGAAACAGCTCACCTTGAGACCAGACTAGACTGGGAAGCAATCCAGCATCCCACTACCTCTGTACTTCCTTAGGGACCTCAACTGATTTGCATCTCTCTCTTTTCCACTCTGGAGTTTAAGTCACATTGGCTTTTCTGAGTAGAATCTTGCTGCTGAGGAAACAAGTCCTCTGCAGGGTCTCCCTCATCTCCCATTATACTCCTAGCTTTGTCTGGCTAATCCCTACTTGTTCTACTTGTCTCTGGCTCCTTCTTCTGACCCCCACAGATGCCTTCCCTGACCCTGCTGCCCTGTGTCAGAGTCCTCCTCGCACACTACAATAATTATCTGTTTCCTTGTCCATTTCCCCACACTTGACTCTCAGCTCATAGAGGTCAAGCACTCTCCTGAGTCATCTTTATTTCTCAACTAGCTCTAACACAGTAAAACGTCATTAGGTACTTATCAAAGTTGTCTCAAATGTTCTTAAAGTATTCTGCTGTGTTCTTAAAGTCTCAGGATCATGGCATTAGAGGTCACCTTAAAAGATCGCTGGTCTTTTCTACCCTTCAAACCCTCCTGTACCCTCACAGGCAAACAGCCAGCCTCAGCTTGGTCTCCTGCAATGGTGAGAGCTCACTGCCTGCTGAAACACCTCATCTCTGCTTGACTTCTGACTGTGATAATGATCGACCTTATGCTAAGCCTAAACTTGCCTTCCTGTAGCTTTTGGCCTTTGGGTCCTAGTTCTTGCCCTTGCAACCACACAAATAAACCTTATTCTTCTTCCTCAAGACAACTCTCTGGAGGGTTTAATCCAGTTCTACTGGTCTCTCTTAAAGATAAATCTTTTTTCCTTTCTTCAAGTAAATATCCTTAGTCGCCTCTAATATTTTCAAAAGGATGTGGCTTTGAACATCTTCACCCTCATGCTTGTTCTTCTCTGATCATTCCCTATTTTTAAATTTTATTATGGTAAAAATACTTTAACATGAAATCTACCCTCTTAGCCAACTTTAACAGTACAATACAGTGTCATTAACTATAGGGACATGTTGCTCTCAGACTTTATCTTGTATAATTGAGACTTTATGGTCATTGATTAGTAATTCTACCTTTCCTCTTGCCCCCAGCCCCTGGCAACAACCATGATACCCTTTGATTCTATATATCTGACTATTCATATATCTAATATAAGTGGAATCAGGCAGTCTTTATCCTTTTGTGACTGGCTTATTTCATATAGCAGTATATCCTCAAGGTTCAATCGCATTGTCACATATGGCAGGATTTTCTTCTTTTTAAAGGCTGGATAATGTTCATTGAAGAAAATCATATTTTCTTATTTCATTTTTTAAAGCATTTTTGCACACAGCTCTGAGTTTCCCTAATCTATGGAGAGGAGAGTGAGATTACTTCCTCCTTCATTTTACTAATTATAATTTGTACCCTGGTTTCATTACCCTACTGAGTGGGGAGTAATCTAAAACTCTAAGGCCTTTTCTTTTGTTCTCCCGCTAAGCTGTCTATTTCTCACTGTGCTTATTCATTTGGTATTTTGTCTGTAGGGTAGGATGTTAAAGTTTTCCCAGTTCAGTCTCATTTTGCTATGCTTGGTGATATGGTTTGGCTGTGTCCCCGCCCAAATCTCATCTTGAATTGCAGTTCCCAAAATCCCCACGTCTCATGGGAGGAATCTGGTGGGAGGTAATTTAATCATGGGGGTGGTTACTCTCATGTTGTTCTCATGATAATGGGTGGGTTCTCATGAGTTCTGCTGGTTTTATAAGGGGGTTTCCCCCTTTGCTTGGCACTTCTTCTTGGTGCCATGGGAAGAAGGATGTGTTTGCTTCCCCTTCTTCCATGATTGTGAGTTTCCTGAGGCTTCCCCAGCCATGCTGCACTGTGAGTCAATTAAACTTCTTTCTTTTATAAAATCACCCAGTCTTGGGTATGTCTTTATTAGCAGCATGAGAATGGACTAATACACTTGGTCAGTGTATCCACCCAGCCTTTTGAGACCTTTTTGGATCCTGTTTCTTTAACTGACTTAGCCTTGGCTTCTTCTAGTTCTTATTCTGAGTAGATATGATGGAACTGGCTACTAAGTCCATATCCAAGGCATTGACAAAGGTATCAACTGAGACAGGATGCCAGAGTCCTGTGGCAAGCCACCAGAGATACTCTGTAGGACCACCATACTCAACATCTGATCCAAGATCCAATGAAGAGGAATCATCTGGGATACTTGTCTGAAAAACAGATTCCTGATTTCATAGAAATATACAATTAGAATTGATAGAGGTTGGGCCTAGTTACCTATATTTTTCAAAAGTACTCCAGATGATCTCAATGTACAGCCTGGGTTGGGATTGATCAACTCCAGAGCTCACTGAGTTCAAAAGCCCCAAATAAACTGCAGTTTGACCTGGTCCAAAGTTAAGCCTAAGGAGTGCAGCCTGATGGGATGAGGTGGAGCAATGGCAGAGGATTGTCTAGTTCCATGAATATAGTCAGTCTATCCACACTACACACCTATCTGGGCAAGTTCTTTATAATGGCTCCAGACCTTTCTCTGTTCCTTTCACCCCAGACCCCCACCTCCAACTCTTTCTGTTTATCTCTCTGGTTCTGCGTCCTGGCTTCCAATGCCAGTTTCAACTCCTGGATTTGGGTACCAGGTTTGACTTCCTCTGACCCGACCCCAACTTGTTAGTGTCATTTTCCCACAGGCTCACTGTAGACAGCTCTGATTTTGGCATCTCTTACAGCCTCTGATGAAAGACTCCTTTCTAGCCCTGGTATATTGAAACAAAAAACTCTCGGGATACAGATTGGTCTTCATTTAAGATATGGCCCCCAGCCTGCTAACTTCTCAAGGGCAGGATCTTACCTTTGCAGTTTTGCATCATATTCACATTAGTTATATTCTCAAGGTGTCTACATTGCCCAATATGCGATATGCTGGGGATGGTACACAGTAGGTGCTTACTACATTTTCCTCTCAGATGGCAGAATTCTTTTGTCTGAGGCAATAACTGAGATTAGTAAAATACCACAGGCTTCTAAACATAACAGACTTGAGCGTGAATCTCAGCTTCACCATTTTTTAACTGTATGGCCTTAGGCAATATAATTAACCTTCATGAACCTCAGGCATCTCAGCTATAAATGAAAAGTATGAGCTAAGTGTCTAAGAGTGCTTGGGCTCTCAGGTTCTATGATTCTTTGTAAGTCACAGACTCCCCTTGCTGGCTGGGACCCTCTTTGGGGTCTTAGATGGCAAATCTCTGCAGTCAAGTCATGCTTCTCAAGTCAGACTGGAATTCTCTTCTCCCAGCATCACGTGGCAGGCTGTTGCCAGATCTTTCATGAGCATAATCACACAACAGGCATCCTCCAGCCCCCATTAATCAGCCTGTCCTGTGGCTTTAATTCAGCAGCACTCCACCATCCACCTAAGTAATCACTCTGGCTTCTGCCAGTGAATTCTTTTCATCCACTTTTGTTTATCACTGTTGAAGCATTTTTTAATCAAAACAATTAAATTTGCTAAATCTTCCCCCAATTAGTAATGCATTAAAAATTAAAAGTGTTTGAATGGAAATGGCAGAAGAAGCCCTTTGCTCAGTGCTGAGTGCCGGTGCTCAGAGCATCACTTTCCCCAAGCACTTTCAGCTCAGGAGTGACTCAGAAACTGATATCCAAAGAGGCACAGAGGGCTGCAGCTGAAAGGGGTCTTGGAGATGACAACCTCTTCTTTCCATAAATGGGAAATGGAGGCCCAGTGGGATCATGGGCCTTTCCTAGGATCATACAGGGTGTTAGTGACTGGAATTTGAATTTAGGACTTATGACTTCTAAGTTTCCTTCCATCAGAAACCCTTACCAAAAGACTCGGGGCATTCATTTATTTACTCATTTTTTTCATTCATCAATCATTTATTCTGAAAGTACTTACTGAACACGGCACACACCACATTGCTACGCTAACAAGACAATGGTGAATTAGACGCAAGTCCTTGACATCACAGAGTTTGCTGTTTAATGGGGACACAGGCAAATAAACTTTGATGCTCAATACTCCCTTGAAAATAGTGAATCTAATCTTTAGCTCAACTGAATGACAGGTCTAAATTATTTTTCCTTTATGGTTGATAGAATAACAGTATGACTGGAAATAATTATTTTGTATAGTTGTAGTTTAAAGGAATCATGTCTCAAAATACAAACTCCCATTTACAACTTCCAGATGACTCCTTTAGCTACCGAAAAGGTTGAACTCTGTAGCATGGGCAATATTCCTCCAGTCTGTTTATCTAGTTTTATCTTGCCAGGCATACCTAGGGTTGGAAACCCAGCTCTGTT
The DNA here is from genome assembly GCF_000001405.40 of Homo sapiens. NCBI lineage: Eukaryota > Metazoa > Chordata > Mammalia > Primates > Hominidae > Homo > Homo sapiens. The sequence goes on from NC_000001.11 coordinate 56,905,898, forward strand.
TATTTACATAGCAATGTGGCTTTACTGCTTTGAGAATTATTTTCCTCATCTACAAAATGCAGGTTCCTCAGTGGGTCCTCAGATGTAGACAAATACAGAGATGGCTAACGTGGGCCTGACAGTCTTTACGGAGTCTGAAGGGCAGGTAAACTTTCCATGGTGATCCATCCATCTTCTAGCAAGACTTTGGCCTCTCTGGGGCGCAAAGAGGATCTGGACAAAGAGAATTGTGATGAAGATGATCATTCAGGCACAGAGAACATCGGTAGCTCTGAAAAAAGAGGGAATTATTCAGATCTAAAAATAGTTCATGGAGTAAATGACATTTGAATGGAAGCTTGAGTAGCCTTTGGAAAGATGATGGAAAGGGAGGAGGAGGGGCATTTAGAGTAGGGACAAATATGTGCAAAAGTTCAGGGTAATGGTGCCTATCATGGCCCGGGCACTGAGGTAGGCATGGGGGCAAATGCAGAAGGATGAGATAGAATTATTGCCTCAAGGTGGCTCAATAAAGAATGGTCAAAGGAAAGAGTGCTAGCATTTTTTACCAACTAGTATGTGCAACACATATCTCTTCTCATTTCAAGAATTATTTTGGTTGGAACCATGCAGAAGAGAAAACTGAAATTGGATTAAAGAACCGGGCTTTCAACCCAGGCCTTTTGGACTCCAAAGCTGAAGCTAGCTTTTACTACTCTGACATAGTTGTACCATGTCAAGTGTCTTTTAATAACTCAGCATTTTGTGTTTCTCTGTCTCCCTGTTGCAGGTATTACCAGCAGAGATATCACGACATGTTTTGGAGGCTCCTTGGGCATTCAATATGAAGACAAAATAAATGTTGGTGGAGGTTTATCAGGAGACCATTGTAAAAAATTTGGAGGTGGCAAAACTGGCAAGTGTTTAGTAATAGATCTCCCAAAAAGAGAAGCCAGGCTTTCCTTTGGACACACACTGGGACATGGAAGCTATTTTTTTTCCCAGTTGATTGCATTTTAGTCAATGATCAGACTGCATAGACGCTAAATACCCCAAAACAATGACCTGCAGTGGCTTTATTTTGAATCTACCATGGGCTTAAAATCACCTTAGAAATACCTACCTTTATACGGGGCACCCTCCTAGATTTCAAGGGTTAGACAAAGGTCCAAGTAAGAACTAGAATGAAAGGAATCTGGAAAATGGGCTGTTTGAATGAAGACCCATCATATTACAGTTCAGAGGGAGGAAATAAGGCTGTTGAGAGAGAATATGGTACCGAGTCCAAGCTCAAAGAATAATTATTAGAGAGGGATTGTACAGGAATATTTTATGGCATTTCCTGAACAAGTCAGTTGGGGTGTTCATGTGTTCATTTACTCATCCATTCATCAAACAGGTATTGAGTTTTTTTCCCCAAGTGGGAGACACAGAGGATACAGGGATGATGAAGAAGTTTATAATGCAGTGGGTGGAATAGATATTAATCAGGTTCAAGCTATTCCTATTGCATTAGGTTACCTGTACCTCAGGGCCTTAAGTCAAATTGTTTCTTCTCTCTTTCTATCCTCTCTTCATTTACCTGGCAAATATTCACTAACCTTTGTAGACAACTCACCTTTCTTTCTGACTGCCTCCCACACCCCCTACTGTATAGCTAACTAGTTTCTTTCACTGTGCCCACATTGAGTCCTATAGTAACATCTGTTGTACCTATAGCACCTATAATATTTGATTGAACCTATTCGGCATATAGCAGGCACTGAGTAAATATTTGATGTAAGAATGAATGAGTGAATGAATGAATAAATGAATGACCACCCATTTCCTGTTCCCCTTATCCTCCATGTGGTCTGGGCTGTCCTCTCAGTATTTCTCCACTCCAGAGGATGGGTCTATTTCTGAGTCTTGGTCCTTCCCTTCTGCCTTGTCCTGCTAGCTAACCAAGAAGAGAAGAAGAATGGTAAACATCTAAGGAAAACATGTAAACTTTCTTCCAAATCTCATTAGTGGGGTTTGTCAACCAGTCCTTGGGCTTTTTGGGAAATGAGTTAATGCAGTTTATCCTCTTGATGGCAGAAAGGGCCAGGAAGGCCATGGCTGTGGAAGACATTATTTCTCGGGTGCGAGGTGGCAGTTCTGGCTGGAGCGGTGGCTTGGCACAGAACAGGAGCACCATTACATACCGTTCCTGGGGGAGGTCATTAAAGTATAATCCTGTTGTTATCGATTTTGAGGTAAGTCTTTTCGCAGTTGAAGAAACTCTACGTCCATGAGGAATGAAAGTGAAGCAGACCAGATCATTTCATATTTCTTATTATGAGCCCATCAAAGAACAAGATTAAATGTAATGGCACACTGAACTAGTGGCCTTGCTTGTGCCTGACTCCAGGGAGTGCATGACTTCAGACCCAGGCCACGGGACAGCTGGGATCAGAAACTGATGATCTAGTCAGTGCCTAGTTTTACACTGCTCATCCCAGAAGTTCCTCAGCATTAGGTCACATTAGGCAAATCATGATTTTTATTTATACATAAAACACTTCAAAAATCACATGGGCTAAATTAGGGGGTGGCAAACTTTTTCTGTAAAAGGTCAGATAGTAAATATTTCAGGCTTTGTGGGACACATACAATCTATAATACACAAAGTAGTAGTATTAGTTCTTCTTCTTTCTCTTCTTCATCAAATCTCTTTAAAAATATAAAAGTCATTCCTGGCTCAAAGGCCATACAAAAATAAGCTGTGGGTTGGACTTGGACCCAGGCTGCAATTTGCTACCATCCTCCACAGTTATCTCATCTCTCCATTAGAGGAACCTCTGTCATAGATACTATTCCCTCCCATTAAAAAGATTAGGAAACAGGCTCTGAAAAATCAAGTGAAAATATTTGAGGTCATATAGCTCAGAGGTGGCAATGCTTGGATTTCAGACCTTTGGACTTCGTATCCAGTTCTCACTTCTCTCTATCCTAGCACCTCCATTAAAGCAGTGGCTCTCAGCTACTAGGGGCAGTTTTCCTCCACAGAGGAAATATGGAAATGTCTGGAGATGTTTTTGATATTTTTGTCACCACCCACAGTGGGGCAAGGAGGTGTTACTGGCATCCAGGAGGCAGAGGCCTGGGATGCTGCTAAACATCCTTCCATGCACAGAACAGACCCCACAGCAAAGAAATATCTGGCCTCAAGTGTCAATACTGCCAAAATTGAGAAACCCTGCCTTAAATGCTTAACCTCACAAAGTGTGAAAAATTCTATTTTAACCACAAAGGAAGTGATTGTTCTAGCAGTTGCCAAACTATTTCTGTCCATATGTGGTGTAGTCCATTTAAGAGACTGCATTTCAGACTTTGAAGCAAAAGATCATCATTTTCTCATCCATTTTCTCCCCACCCTTGCCTATTTTTCTACATATATTTAAAATCCCAGATATGGATATAGTCCTCCTCTTAAAACATATGCCTACAGTTAAACCTAGAAGTCTATTCTAACACCCTGGTTTCTGTGAAGAAACAGGTCAGATGGATCAACCTTGATTTTATTTCTTCTTCAATAAGTAAGAGACCATTTTCATGCAACTGTAATTCACATAAGGTTTGAAAATTGATATCATCAAGCTATTAGTGATTTGAGCAAAAACTGTAAAATTGATATCAGGAGTAATACATAAACTTTCATAGGCAAGAGGTGAACTTGGTGTTTGCCTTGAGAAAAACTTCCCTGGGAAGACTCAGGGTCATCATTTGGAGAAGACCACTACAGTCTTTTGGGAAAGAGCCCAGGCTTTGGCAGGATTGGGTGAGAGGGAGGAGAAAGACATAATTTAGGTCATAGCTCAGCTGCTTTTTCAATGTGTGACCTTTGACAAGTTACTTCCCTCACTGAGCCTCAGTTTCCTGCTCTATCACATAGAGATATTTCACAAGACTCAGGAGATCAGAAGTTACTTGGTAAATGTCAGTTGAAGAAACAGGTTCAGCACAATATCTCGAAATTGGCAAATGATAGAGTCCAACTCGAGTCATGTTTGACTGACACTAACATCCTCAGTCTCTTCACAACTCATGTTGCCCCCTGAGAAGTTCGGACTCAATGCATTAAGCCACGGGCAGGCTTTATAGCAGGGAAGTAACACAGCTAGCACTGTGTTTTAAAAAGAGAATGCTCACAGGGAAATAAAGGGTGATTTGAAGAAGAGAGAGATTACAGACAAGGGGACCAGGTAGGGGTTATTTGGAGCCTGATGTTCAGAGTGGAAACAGCATGTTATTCACTTGCATATACCCCAGAGTTCAGCAGTGCTTATTTATAGCAAGTGCTTAGAGTTTGTGAATGTAGGAGTCCTGCTATGTTACGTTTGTGTTATGTTATTTTGTTATGTTGTGTTGTGTGATATATTATTATGCATTATCTTGTGTTGCTATATTGTATCATTTGACCTCTGAGTCTTTTTTCTCATCTGCAAAACGGGAACAAGATCACTGCCAATACCTTTTCAAGCTCTAACGTCCCAAGATCCCTCTTCTCCACCTCTCTCTCCTCTTTTAACTCCACCAGTCCACCCTATGGAGGGCTTCCCCTCTTCCTGTGGTTCCTGGGAGGGAGAGATCTGAGGTGGGGAACTGGATGCAGAGCCCCACTGGAAAGTCAAAGAGAAATTGCTCAATGGTCCTGGCTTTCCCTGGAACTAACAGTCATCTTTGAGAAGGCCAACAGGGCAGCCTATTCTACGCTGACTTCCTAACAATGGGACTGAATTCTCTGAACTTCCAGTAAGTGGTTTTCTCCCCTTGGCTGGGGACCCTACCAGTCCTGATATTACCTGCCTGCTGACCTCAACCGCAACCCCTGACCACAGGCCAAAGTCTGTTTGCCACAGGTCTTTCTGTACACATTTCCAGGAACTCAGACAAAGCTATTGCCAGTGCCCTCAGTTGACTTCTGTTTCCAGGGAAGTGCGACTACCGTAATGTGGCTCAGTCCTACTGCTGACTTGCTCTGGCACAGTCCTACTGCTGACTTGCTCTGTGACCTTGGCAAATCACTTCCCCTTTGGGGGCCTCAGGTTCCTCTCCTTAAAATGAGAGATCTGGAGAAGTGCCTTCCTTTTATGAAGTATTAACATGTATAACATTATAAGCATGCTGAAGATAACCACATATGCATGCAATTTGAAAAACATGGGTTTTTTTTTTTTTTTTACTATTATCACATACAACTAACAAAAATGGTGCTTTATTTTTTGTCATTCTTCCCTTGTACAGTAGTATCTCACATTCAGTACTTCTTTAGATCCTCATAAGAAATCTGGGAATTAAGTATTATTCCCATTTTCTAGATAATGAGGATCAGACTTAGACAGGGGCAGTTAGGCCACATAGCTAGAAAGTGAGTCACATTTACTTAGTTTTACCATGTGACAGGTCTTTCCCCTATATCATCTCCCTTAATCCTCACAATAATCCTGGAGGGTGTGATGACTGTTCTCCCTTTACAGATGAGGAAGGAGGCTCCGTGTGTCATGTGCCAAAGATCACACAGTCGGAAGCAGGGTAGCTGGGGTTTGAAGCCAGGTTTTCCGGCTCCAGATTCAATCCTCCTTGTGCTTCATCTACTACTTCTCAGTCGAGGCAATTGTTTCCCCCAAGGAATATTTGGCAATGTCAGGAGACAGTCTTGGTTTTCACAACTGGAAGGGGGCTGCTGGCATGTAGTGGGTAGAGGCCAGAGACTCTGCTAAACAGCCTACAATACAAGGACAGCCCACTCCTGCCAGTAAAGAATTATCCAACTTGATACGCAATAGTGCCGAAGTTGAAAAACCCTGAACTACGGTCATGTCTGGAATGGGTTGCATCAGTTGTAAATAACTCCCACCCAGCCACATGTAGCTGCCACAGTTACACCATTAGGGAAATTGCTCAGCAATGACAACAACACTACCTGTCAAGGATTTTATTAATTCCTGCATTGAAGGCTGACATTTAAAACACACACTTTTCCTGCTTCCTAAATGTGGTGGAGAGGGCAGATGAGTTGGCACAAATAACTTCTAAGCCCACTTGGGATTGGGAGTGCACAGGTTTCAGAGTTAAGTAGGTGATTCTTGTGAGGAATGCACACATTGCTCCAGGATCACTGTGAGGATTAAGGGAGATGATATAGGGGAAAGGCCTGTCATATGGTAAAAGCTAAGTAAATGTGCCTCACGTCCTAGCTGTGTGGGCTGGGACTTTTAACTGCCCCTCTCTAAACCCGATCTTCATTATTATTTCTTAATAATTGTGTGCTTCTGAGCCAGTCACTTAAACACTGAGCCTCCCTTTCTTCTGCTAGGAGCTGAGGAGTTTAATACCTATGTCACAGAATGGCTGTGAGGATCCAAGGTGGTGGGATAAATTGGGTGTCTGTGTCTGTGCCTGGCATGTATCAGGCCTTCCAGAAGCTTGGTGGCCGGTTCTTGGGCTCTGGGAAGGTAGATAGAGCCCAGGGAGGGGCCCTGTGTTCTTTCTGTGCCCACAGATGCAGCCTATCCACGAGGTGCTGCGGCACACAAGCCTGGGGCCTCTGGAGGCCAAGCGCCAGAACCTGCGCCGCGCCTTGGACCAGTATCTGATGGAATTCAATGCCTGCCGATGTGGGCCTTGCTTCAACAATGGGGTGCCCATCCTCGAGGGCACCAGCTGCAGGTGCCAGTGCCGCCTGGGTAGCTTGGGTGCTGCCTGTGAGCAAACACAGACAGAAGGTAAGGTCCGTGCATCCCCACCCAGTTCCAGCCTGTCCCAGCTCAAAGGGGCCAGTGCAAAAAGGACTTTTGGGGTTCCCGGCCCCTCCTTTTGGAGCTCTCCTAGCCAATACCTAGGAGCCACCCTTGAGAGTTCTGTTACTCACCCATCACATTTAGTGGTTCTTGTGCTTTGTCCTTGCCATCAAGACCTTTTCTCAGATGAGAACTGTTTTTCGCCAAGATGTATATGGACAACAGGATTCATTTCTGGAGGAATAAACTAGTTTCCTAGGGCTACCATAACAAATCATCACAAATTAGGTGGCTTATAACAACAGAAGTGTATTGTTTCAGACCTCTGGAAGCTAGAAGTCCAAAGTCAGGTGTGTTGGCTAGGTTGGTTCCTGCCAGAGACTGGGGGAGTATGTGGTTCAAGTCCCTCTCCTATCTTTTGGTAGTTGTCAGCAATCCTTGGCATTTCTCGGCTTATAGATGCATCGCTCCAGTCTCTGCCTCTGTCTTCGTGTGGCATTCTTCCCTCTATAACTCTGTTTCTCTTCTTATAAGAACCACCAGTCACTGGGTTTGAGACCACCCTAATCCAGCATGACCTCATTTTAATGTGATTTCATCTGCAAAGATCCTATTTCCAAATAAGGTCATGTTCACAGGTAACAAGGGTTTGCCTTGAACATATCTTTTGAGGAAACACAATTAAACTCACTAAAAGAGATAGGTAGTTGTCATTATAGTGTAAGAAGTTATGACTAAAAACAAGGTTTGGGCAAGGAAGGTTTAAATGCAGATAACTGCAACATGAACCAACTGGTACCAGGGAAGAAAGTTATCAAACAAGCATTAAAAGTCCATTGCTTAAAAATGAAGAAGTCTGGGGACTTGGATGTGAATCCCAGATACTTTACTAAGTCACTGTGAGACACTAATTGTTCACATCTTTCTGGGGCTTAGCTTTCTCATCTATGTTCCCTTTTAGCCCCAAGAGTATGCATGTTCCAATTCCTAAGCTCCCACTTTTTCAGGCACATAAAACTGTTTGTATGGTACATAAAATGATGGCAAAATGTATGGACTACCTAATCAATGTACACATTAACCTAAATTGGCTATTGCAATGAAGAAAACACAAAGGGAAAAACAAAGAAGTCTGGATGGGAAATCCAAGGTATTACAATTGACTCCAGAAAACAAAGGGTTGAAGCACAGGGTGGAGGGGGCTGAAGCCATGTGGCTCAATGGCCATGTGAAAGAAACAGGCCAACCATTAGTCCCAGTTCACTCAGTGGGAGCCTGATACAGACGGCCCCACAGTGAAAGACGGGTTAACAAAAGTCAAGAGCTCAGGATAAGATTCTTCTCTGGCGTACCAAGATTTTTGTTCTTGGTGCCACACCTCACCGGATACTGACAAAGCAAAGCAGGCAATCCAGAGAAGTGGGAAGGCTCAAACCTATGTATTAAGAAGATCTGGAAAGATTGGGAATTTTAGGCATGAAGAAGAAAGACTCAGAAAGGACAAGTCCCACATAAACTGCCATGTGGGAGGACATGGAACTTGTATTCTATGGCCACTGAGATTAGGTTGTAGGACTAAAGGAGAGAAGCTATAGCAAAGGGATTAGGGCTTAATGAGGGAGGACTTTCTTCTGCATGTACTGCAGCAAGAATGAGGGAGGGGGATAGATGACCACTTTTCAGGGAGTTGGAAGAGATTCATTCTTCCAAGGGATGGTCGGGCAAGACAGCCTCAAGGTCCTTCCTACCCCCAGAATCTCTGAGTCTCTGACCTAAACAAGGGATAGCAACATGGTGAGCAGTTGGTAGTTTGAAGCTTAAAATCTTTAAATGCAAAATTGAATTTAAATATTTTAAGCTTCAAACTACAAATACCAATTTCTTTAGGATTCAAGGGGATCTTCATGCAGTAGACCTGGTTTTAAGATCAGATGATGTTGAGTTATTATTTCCTCATTGGGAGAGTAGTTCTAAGTAGGAGGCAGGATAGCATAGCTCAGGTACCAAACCGATCTTTAGTTTTTTGTTTTTGTTTTTCTTTTGAGATGAAGTCTTACTCTGTCACCCAGGCTGGAGTGGAATGGCGTGATCTCAGCTCATTGCAACCTCCTCCTCCCGGGTTCAAGCGATTCTCCCACCTCAGCCCGCCCTGCCCCCACCCTGAGTAGCTGGGACTACAGGCATGCACCACCATGCCTGGCTAATTTTTGTATTTTTACTGGAGATGGGTTTTCGCCATGTTGGTCAGGCTGGTCTCGAACTCCTAGTCTCAAGTGATCTGCCCGCCTCAGCCTCCCAAGGTCCTGGGATTACAGGCATGAGCCACCACATTCAGCCCAGGTCTTTAATTTCTAAGCTGCCAATTTCCATCTGGGCATACCCTGTAAAATGAGATTATATTGGAACCTTCCTTAAAGGTTGTGTTGAGGATTAAACTAGTTAACACTTGTGGTAGGCTGTATTTTAATAAGCAAAAGAAGAGACAGCTTCATGTGGGATGTTTCATTGGTAGAGAATTGTTCTGGGTTGTTACTTGTTCAAATTCCTCCTTTGCTGGCAAAAGGGGATAGAATCTGGGTTCCAGTGAGCTGCCTGTGTCCTGTGGGAGGTATGCTGAAAGAGGTAAGCCAAGAGGGTGAGTGAAAGCCAATGACCTTATGAAGGAGCATGCAGAGAATACAAACCAAGGAGACCAACTCCCAGGGCCAGTTCCATCTTCCATGGAACTGCAGATTCCAGCTTCCTTGTGTGAACTGGAAAAAAGGCACTGCTTGGTAGATGGGTGAATTGGGAGAGAAAAATAAAACTACTCTGGATTGATACAGCCGAGCTCAAGGGCCCAGGGCTTTCCTGACTTCCCAAGCAGGGTATGGACTGGGTTGTAGCCGCCATTTTCCCATTGGCCAGGCAGCATTCCCAAGGGGACCAAAGATCAATGAACAGAAAAAATAACTAAGCCTTATTAGTAACAGCCGTTAGAGCTGCATGTGTATGAACTCATTTATTTTCCCAAGAACCTTATGACATAAATGCTATTATGAGTCCCAATTTACAGATGAGGAAAACAGGGCAGAAGGAAGGTTGGATAATTTGCTCAAGGTCACCTAGCTGGGGAATGAAAGAGACAGGATTTGGACCCGGGACCCAATCTCTTAAACATTACACCCTACTGAGTCACATCCTAAGAGTGAGGAAATTTGGGGAATGAGAGCAGAGGGTCTGAGACAACTTCAGTAAGTATCATTTTGGGGAGTGGAAAGTGGGGTATGTACCAGTTCATGGTTATCAATCTGGCCTGGCTTAAAGGAACAGATGTGAGCCTTGCCAGAGTAATTTAATTATAGCACTCCAAGGGCCCTCAGAACCAGTGACTTGCTAGGATCCCTGTCCACACAGCATAGAGACAGGAAGAAGGGGGAGTGTGGGCTACCCAGACGTGCCTCTCCATGGTCCAGTGCCAGGCTCAGTGGCAGGCAGGCTGAGACACCTGCACACGTGGTGGGTATCAGAGAAGGTGTGGGCATTACGTAATGATCTGCAGGGAGGGAGGAGACAGAGGGCTGCTCCCAAGGTCCCATTCCTCCTGCATTCAGTTGCAGGCAGTGCAGTTAGTTCATTGCAGGCAGCTCATGGCGCTCCATCAACCTGGTTCAAAGCAAGGTGTGGACATCAGGTGGCCTTGGGGCTGTCATACTGAACTTTCAGCCTGATGGAGACTGGGCTGGCAAGGAAGTCTGAGGCAGGGCAGTCAAATTCCATGGAGGCCCATTACAGTCCCTGGGAATTTTCCCAGTAAACCTTTGCCTATGGAGACTGAGGCACAGAGGTGGGAGAAAGAGACAGAGAGCCTTGCTGTGGCTGCCCCATCAGGGAGTATAATTACAGAGCTGGAAGGAACTTGGAGATAATCTAATCCAATGATAGTCACACTGTGATCTGAGGAGCCCTGGGGTCTCAGAGCTGCCCCAGCAGAGGAGGGCGAGCCTGACAGACATCCAGCTTCAAATAGAGCAGCTCCACTTTCATCTGACTTAGAGGTTGGGGGTCTATGTAAGATTTCATTTAGGAAAAATGAAATTGTGATGAAAAAAATAAACATTGAAAAAAACCACTGGATTAGTCCATCCTTCTCATATGATAGCATCCAAAACTCAGGCGGAGCCCCAGGCTAGGTAATTCTCTGAGCTAGATTTCCAGATAGTCCATGGTCAGTGCATGTGTTCAGATGCTCTGTGCAGACAGCCTGTCACCCTCTGCGGCTCCATTGCCAGAATCTGAGGGGGTTTGATTTGCAGATCCTCATACAAAAGCTTAGCAATCCTCTCCAGGGAGGTGTCTGGCCAAACCTTTTCTCTGACTCCCCAGGAGGGCGGTGCTCCCCTCTCTTCACACCCTCCATTGACTCTGTGTCATTCTTCCAAGGGAGCACACCTCCTGCCTCCCTCCGCTATCCATCTTCCATGGAACTGCGGATTCCAATTTAATGAGATGGGCTCCCAGTGGCCTCTTCTCACTCCATCCAGAGTTTCAAATTAAGTGCAAGGCAGTGAGCACAGAGGTCTTGGCTGGCTACCTGAAGGCATTTCCCCAAGGAGGATTGCAGACCACTCTCAGGCAACAGGATGGCCTTCCCTCCTCAGTAGCAGCTCTGCAACTCCCTGGACAGAGCCCCCAGGGGCAATTAATAGCCTGACTGCCATGGTCTCTGCAGTGAAACTGCCCTTGCTACATCTGGACTAACAAAGGAGCAAAGACCCTATGTACCTTATCTGTACGTACCTCCAACAAGCTGCAGTCGACCAGAGGAGGGGAGGCCAGTTCCTCTCCCAAGGGTGCCACACACCCCTCCCTGTTCATCACCAGACAGGCCCTTCCTTCTTAGCCATATGCTAACCTTCTCCTCCCTGGGAAATTTCCTCTGCAGGAGCCAAAGCAGATGGGAGCTGGAGTTGCTGGAGCTCCTGGTCTGTATGCAGAGCAGGCATCCAGGAAAGGAGAAGAGAGTGTGACAATCCAGCACCTCAGAATGGAGGGGCCTCGTGTCCAGGGCGGAAAGTACAGACGCAGGCTTGCTGAGGGCCTCTGGACACAGGCTGGACCAGATGCTGTGGATGTCGACCCCTGCACTGACTATTGGATAAAGACTTCTTTCAACTAAGAGAAGATGCAAATCAGCACACTTTTTTCTTTGTTCTGCCAGCTTCCAGGCCTAAGACTAGGTTTTGCTGTCTACAGCCAACTATTCTATTAGTTACAAAACTCAATCATTTTATTCAGCAACTGGATGTTGACTGTTAACTAGAAGCTCTGTCCTACTTACAGCACTTTGGATCATCAAAAAAATAAAGTAAAATAGAAAACTGAGAAAACTCAATCCATGACCAGGGAGAACTTACAGGATGTTAGAGACAAAACAAGCAGACACCTGAAACAATCAACGCCCAATAAAACAAAGTAGGATGAAAATTCTCTTAGTTCTTTGATAACAATTTGTTCACTCATAGAAACATTATTAATTGGTAGGGTAAGCAGACACTCTGAAACAATGAGAAAAATACTAAAAATTGACTTGAGTTATTTCAATTTGCCTTCATTTGAACTCGTTTATTAATTCAATTAATCTCTCTAGTTCCCTTAAGTTCTTACCACAAATGTGACATTTCTCCTGATTATTTTCTCATGGAACACTTCTTTTCCTACATTGCAATTTTCACAACTAGTAATTATATTATCTTAGTCTATTTGGGCTGCTATAACAAAAAGCCATAAACTAGGTGGCTTATCAACAACAGAAATTTATTTCTCACAGTTCTGGAGGCTGGGAAGTCCAATATCAAGGCAGATTCAGTGTCTGGTGAGGGCCCACTTCTTAGTTTTTACAGGACTGTCTTACTGCTGTGTCCTTACATGGCAGAAGGGGCTAGGCAGTCTCTTAGGTCCCTTCTTTAAGGGCACTAATCCCATTCATTAGGGCTCCATTCTCGTGACCTAGTCACTTCCCAAATTTCCCACCTCCTCATGCCATCACTTTGGGGTTAGAATTTCAACATATGAATTTTGAAGGGACACAAATGTTCAGATCATAGCATATATATTTAATCCCACATCTCCTGTGACTATGTAAGACCTATCTCTTCCTAAGAGATAATAATCTTGAGGGCAGAAGTCAGGCTTCTTTTGTTTAGCACTGTAGCCCCGGAGGTCAGGCTTGTGCCTTAAATGTAGCAGGGACTTAGTAAGTAGCTGTGATTAAATAAGTGAATGAATTGAAGAGTCAGTTCATAGATGAGGTACACATTGGTCAGCCTCCCAGAGTGGAGAGTGGATTTGAAGAGGCCAACTAGTGACGATCAATCCGCCTTCTCTGACCCATCTCTAGGGGAGGCCAATCACACCAGCCAGCCTCAGAATCCCACAGCCCTCCAGTCATGCCTCAAATAGAGAACATGTTAGGTAGCACTGAATTTTCTGTTTATCCATCAGTTTCCCCTATTAGATTTTGAGCTCCTTGAAGGCCAAATCTACAATCCTAGTGTATAGTAGGTACTCAAGAAATGTCTGGTGACTAACATATATATTGATGCTTCAAGTCATTCCAGAGTCCTCAATCTTGTTAAAGTCAGAATAAGAATTATGTACCTGAAACAACTAGAGGAGGTTTTAGGGAAATTAATTGTTGAGTTAATGCTAAAATATGTAGCACACAAAGTAAGTGCTGAAGGAGGCCAGGTGGGAGAGAGATTTACCTTTCCATTACTGTGTATATTGTGGATGGCATGGGGATTGCCCCAGGCCCTGAAGGACTTTTCAACTAGGCAAACTGGGAGGAGATCTCTCAGACAGAAATTCGGCATGAGACAAAGTCTGAAAGTGAGAAAGACATTTGGGGGTGCATGCAGGTGCGTATGTGTCAGGAAAGGGGAGTGAGGAAAATAATGCATGTAAATAAAATAAGGCATATAAAACACTTGGCACTATGCCTGTCATACAGGACATTATTACCCTCATGCTTATCGTCATCATTATTAAGACTATTATTAATTAAAGAATGTGATTTAGAAGTTAATTTCTGAACTCTTTAGATCTTCTACCTGAAAGAAGAAAAAAAACTCTCCTATTGCTTTTCATCCTGTCATTAATTTGCTTTTTACTTTTTAACTTACATTAATAATTAACCTACATTCATTATTTACTGAGTAGTGGCAGTTACATGCTAGAAAGTGACCAAGGGCCAAATATGCCAGGCCACGTGGGCACTTTAAAGAGAACGTTTGATCTTGACCTAAAAAAACAGTGGTTCTTAAACTTGGTTGTATGTTACAATCACCTGAGCAGTTTTCAAAACCCTGATGTCTACAGACTGCACCCGAAACAAATTAAATCTTAATCACTGGGTGTAGGGACCAGACATCCATAGTTTTTTGGGGTTTTTTTGTTTGTCTGTTTGTTTTGAGACAGAGTCTCCAGGCTGGAGTGCAATGACACAATCTTGGCTCACTGCAACCTCTGCCTTTGGGGTTCAAGTGATTCTCCTGACTCAGCCTCCTCAGTAGCTGGGACTATAGGTGCACGCCACCATGCCCAGCTAATTTTTGTATTTTTAGTAGAGATGAGGTTTCGCCATATTGGTCAGGCTAGTCTCGAACTCCTGACCTCAGGTGATCCACCCACCTCGGCCTCCCAAAGTGCTGGGATTACAGACTTGAGCCACTGCGCCCGGCCTGACATCCTTAGTTTTAAAAGTTCCTCAGGTGATTCCAAGTGCAGCCAAGGTTGAGGCTCCTGAGAGTGGAGGAATCATTATACCTGCATGGGGAATGGGGTCTGTGACAAAACAAAAAGGCAGGGACAGTAAAGTTATTTGTGCTATTTTAACTAGTCTTATGCAAGATCTCTTAAGGTTTGTTTTCTATGTCCTATTGTGCAGCCAAGAAACTGAATCTCAGCAAGGTTGAGCCTCATGGGTCACAGAGCAGGCCAGGGTTTGAATGCGTCACATCAAACACACGCTTCCATTTCCTCCACCCACCCTTTGCTCTTGTCTGCTGGTGGAGGGATTTGGAGAATAGTGTGTGGGGCACAAGGGAGGGGAGGAAACCAGAGGCAGGGAGGCTCATCAGGAGGTAAGTGTAGTAATCTGGGCAAAAGATGAGAACTTTGAGATTAAGTAATTGCCTGGATCATCTGTGAGCCAAAACCACCAGCTGAGCAATGCTGTCTTCCTGTCTTCTGAGCCAGAGAACCCAAGCCAGCATCTGTCCCACTCCTCTGAGGATGCTACATCCCCAAAAGCTTTACAAATTAAAATACAGTGGCAGTTTCAAGCATAGCAACCCTTTATTACATCAGCAGCTTTCCCTCTTCAAGAATGACTGGCTCTCACAAAGCAAAAAGCATAAAACTCATCCAATGCATTTTCCCTTAGGTCTTTTAAGAAGATCTATAATCTAAGGTTTTATAGGTAGTGGGTGTAAATACATGGTTTAAAGATATAATCTTCAGCTTGACAAGGTGTCTTTTGAAAAGTAAATTAATGACAGAATAAAAAGCAATAAGGAGAGGCTTTTTTCTTTTTTTTTTTCTTTGTGAGAAAGGAAGATCTAAAGAGTTCAGCACTCAATGAATCTCTTCTGAACTATATGCCTTTAGGGTGAAGAAAATGGACAGAGAGAAAGGGTAGGCTTCAAAAGCCACATTGCAGAAATGAGAGATGGCAAAGTGAAGCCACTGAGTGCCATGAGAGGAAGGGGATGTGATACGGATTAGAGGAAAGGCATGAAGAAAATTTATGGTGATACTCCTTCACATCAGAAATGGGCAAAATACTCTCTGGAGATCTCTTGTGCAGGCCCCATGCTGGGTGCTGGAGGTTCAGAAATGGATCAGACATGGTCCCATCCCTGGAAGAATGCAGCCTGGTAAAGGAGAGCTGTGAACAATGGCAATAGGTCCCAGGCAGCAGGAAGCCCAGGGACCTGTGGGGGATAACCAGCTGTGGGAGCAGGGCAGGCAGCCAGGACATGGCCAGCAGAATCTCAGACACAATGAGAGTTGGAGCATCAAAGAAAG
Source organism: Homo sapiens (assembly GCF_000001405.40). NCBI lineage: Eukaryota > Metazoa > Chordata > Mammalia > Primates > Hominidae > Homo > Homo sapiens. The sequence continues at coordinate 56,921,710 of NC_000001.11, forward strand.
CAGAAGGAGGGGCACGATTGTGCAGGGGAAATGTGCAAAGTAACAGAGCTGGAAAACCAGGAGATAGAGTGTGGGGCAATTTTTGCTCAGCTCTTTGGGTAATGGTGCTGGAATTTGTCAGGCTGGAGATGACTGAGTTTGGAATTCCAGTTTGGTCACTGGGCCTTTCCTGAGGGGAGCCAGTTCTTGGTCCCAGGGAGATTCCCACAGACAGCCCCTTTTCTGATTACCCTGGGGTACTCTTGGGCTTTCAGCAAGCCCACAGCTGTTGTTATAAAGGCCATGGATTTGAAACTGGATTCATAAAGCACATCTCTGAGGCTGATGTACCCCTCCACCTTTATCTCTGTTCAGACTTTATGAGCCAATTGTGCGAGAAATCTATTGTCCCTGACATGAGGAACAAAGCTCTGTGTGACGAGCCCTTGGCTCCCTTTCATGTCCTTCCCTTCAGTTCTTCCCTCAATCATGCTCCTCCAGCCATGCAGGCCCTTTTGCCATTCCTCATGCACACCAGGCCCTCCCCTCCTCAGGACCTTTGCACCTGCTGTCCTCTCTGCCTGAGATGTTCACCATCTAAATGAGCTCATCCACAGCTCACTTCCTCATTTCATTCAAGTCTTTGCTCAAGCGTCACCTCTGCAAAGACATTCTCTGTGCACCCTATGTAAAGAGGCTCACCCTTTTCATTGATTTTTCTCATACAGAATTACCGTTACCTGACATTATAGATTTGTTTATTTGTTCTTTTTTTCTTCTCATATGTTATGGACTGCATGTTTGTGTACCCCCAAATTCCTATGTTGAAATCCTAATCCCTAATGGGATGGTATTAGGAAGTGGGGCCTCTGGGAGTGCTTAGGTCATGAAGATGGAGTCCTCTTGATGGGATTAGTGCCCTTATAAGGAGAGACACCAGAGAGCTTGCTTCTCTCTGCAATCTGCTATGTGAGGATACAAGAAGATAGTGGTCTGCAAACCAGAAAGAGTGACTCATCAGACACTGAATGGGCTGGCACCTTGCTCTTGGACTTGCCAGCCTCCAGAACTGGGAGAAATAAATGTCTGTTGTTTAAGCCACCCAGTCTATTGTATTCTTCTATAGCAGCCTGAAACAACTAAGACAGTATGACTCCCCCCATTATTAAGCAAGACTTTTCACGGTTAGATCCCCAGTACCAAATAGTATTTAGCCTTAGTAGGGGTGCAGTAAATGTTTATTGAATTAAAGAACTATTTCTGCCACGCGCGGTGGCTCATGCCTATAATCCCAGCACTTTGGGAGTCTGAGGCGGGCGGATCACTTGGGGTCAGGAGTTCAAGACCAATCTGGCCAACATGGTGAAACCCTGTCTCTACTAAAAATACAAAAATTAGCTGCGTGTGGCGGCGGGCGCTTATAATCCCAGCTACTCGGGAGGCTGAGGCACGAGAATCACTTGAACCCAGGAGACAGAGGTTGCAGTGAGCCTAGATCACACCACTGCACTCCAGCCTGGGCAACAGAGGGAGACTCTCTAAAAAAAAAGAACTATTTCCAATTTAGTTCCCCAAATAGGTCAGGCCTTTTATTGCCTACAGCTTTTGCACATACTGCTCCTAGAAGAACTACCCCACTCCCACTTCTCAGCTCTCATCTTCTAGCCACTCACCAGCACTTTCCCGGGAATAGGTTAGGTGTCCGTTCATCCAGAAAACCAACCTTGACCCCTTCCATTACCCCACACTTCATCAGGTCCTCCTCCCTCACGTAGCTCTGTATTCTAGCATTTTTCCATGCTCCATCCCTGTAGCCTAGTTGTGTGTCTACCCCACCCAGTGACTTCTTGCAGGGCAAGTGGGGAATCCTATTTACTGTTGAAGCCCTAGCACCTAGCATCATACTTGGTACATAGGAATTTTCCAGAGAAAGTTTGTTGGCTGCTGTTGTCTCTGGTTTCTCTGTGCTGGAGGTAAAGACTCTAGAATGGTTTTTGTGTCTAGCCTGCAGAAACTCATGAGAGGGAACCTAATGAAAGACACTTTCACAGGACTCCTGAGTCCTGCAACCTTCTTGGTATGTCAGAGGACAGCCGAGCCCACGTCGTTCCTGAAGGCTGCACAAATTCAAGAGACAGCCCACCTTTTTCACCTTAGTGAAGGGAAGTCCATCAAATCGAGTTAAAAATTCCTCATTCATGGCCTTAGAATTTCCCCTGGGAGAGATAAAGGAAAATATGTTTTCCTTCTATATTAACAGCTTAAAATGTGAGATAAATCCTCCCTTCCTAACCTGTTTTTAATAAATGGACTCTGCTGACCAGTGGCATGATACATGTCTGACAGATCTATTTATCCATTCTATTTCTTTAGAGATAAGCAGCTAAGAAGTTTTATCTATGATTTGTCTCCCTCCCCCATTCCCATTTTCCTAAGCAAGCATGTGGAGCAAGCATTTGATGGATGGGCGGTGTTTGGGATAAAAGGGGCCAGAATCAGATAGTTTTCAGTATGTGAGCAAACTGGCTTATTAACAAGGAGTCATCTGGCAGGAGGTGGTGAGGGAAGGAGGAGTGGATACAAACAATGGCCAATGATGGATGAAGGAACACCTGGGGTTGCAAGGTGTAGACTTGAGATAACTGGTGGATGCAGCCAATAGCGATAATGGGAGTGCCCAGGCTCCGGCACGGCCTGCTACACAGAGGTGAATGTCAGACTAGCCACTTGACTCCCTTTGACAATCCTCCGAGAATTCCCTACTGCAAATGCAATCACCATTTCTTTTCATTTTTCTTTTTGTAAAATATATCCACCTACTCAAAGAGACAGATGCTAGGCAGGGTAAAAAGAGGCAGAAGTTAGGCAAGACTGTTTTGTTCAGCACCCAAGAATGTTAATCCTCAGAGTTGTGCCCTGAAGATTAACAGCCTCATTTTCTGATGAGGACACTGAGGCCAAGAAAGGAAAAGTGACTTGATTCAAGGCACACAGCTAGGAAGTAATGGCGTTGGGTGTTACACCTGTCTGTCTATTGCAAAGCCTTCCAAACCTGCTCAGTTTCTCCACTGCAGGGATGTCAGACCAAGGGCCTTTCTCTGCCCCTTCTATGTAAGCAGGCAGGTGGGTATTTGCTCTACGGATGAAGCTGGATCTGCCTCTGCTGTTGTGGGAGACATGAGGACAGAGGCTGCAGCTCTTGGACTAAGCTCTGCTGCTTTCAAGCTGTGTGGTCTTGGGCAAATCACTCAGGTTCTCCGAGGCTCTGTCTCATCACCTGTCAAAGGCAGATAATGAATCCTTCCTGTTGCAGGCATTGAGAGGATTAAGCTGGATTAGGTATGTGAAAGTTCTTTGTAACAGGTAATGCCCTCGGCAAATATTAGTTATTATGCTGATACATTTTTTCTTAATAACCCAGAGCTTGGGATATAAAAACCCTCCATGTCCTTTATTAAGACATTCCCTAGGAGCTAAGCTATTTTATGTCTTTTTGTTCTTGTATGATATAGTGGGTTTTGCACTGAAATGTCTTTAAAGCAGTTTTAAATGGCTTAAAAAATAACCAACCTGTGGTTCTTGTTGATGTTTTGAAAATCCCTGGAAATGATGATAGTAATGACATAGCTAATTGTGGAATGCTTACTAGGTTCAGGGTGCTTTCCTAAATGCAGTAATTCACATGTTTACAAAACCCCAGGAGGCTGACACTGCCACCATCCCCATCTCACAGATGAGGAAATGGAGACACAGACAGGTACATAACTTGTATAAGGCCACAAGGTAGTAAGTCACAGAGCCAGGCTTCAAATGTCAGCAGTCTGGCTTCTAAGCACTATGCTATTTGGCCTCTCTCTATGCTGTCCTTCCAGTTTTGCCTAAGAGGTTGTGACAACACCCCCCATTATCTCTATAAACAGATCCCTGAGTTTCTGAATACCTCACTATCGGAATCTGGCCTAACATTTAAGAATGGTAACTCAAAGAGGAAAACACAATATAGAAAGATCTGATTTCATGCCAACATTCAATAAACAGGGAATCTCAAAGACCTAACATGCACTATGGTAATGTGTTGCCATTAGGTTTTTTGTGGCCATTCTAGGTTTAAAACTAATGTAGAGATGAGAACACTGAGGGTGAAGCAGAATGTGGGAAGATGATTTTTTTAAGTTCCTCTTTCCTACCTCTGCCACATAGTAGGTAGGCCTTTTAAAATCTCTTGAGCCTTGGTTTTCTCATTAACCTGTAAATGTGCTTCTCAGGTTTACTCCACCAATAATTGCAGAGTTTTTGTTCCCTTCCTTGGTAAAGCTTCCTTGGGGATTCCTGGCTGTCCCCAGGAGGTGTCAACAATACCACCTCCAAACAGGTATTATCACTCCCTTCATGACATCAGCTGTTTTTTCTTCCCTTTTATTTCACTTTGCTCTTGCACTGCTGCCCACAAAGCCAGTTGAAGGTGCCTATCCTTCACTACTACGTGGGTTGCCCCTACCCTAGGGGTTGCTCTGCCCCTACTCTCATGATGCCACTATCATGTACCACAAATTCACTAAAGGTTCTCACCAGCATGAGAAAGTTCTTCCCTAGGCCCTACTCATTCCTTTCATTAATTCATTAATTACCCAATTATTTATTGATGGTCTACTTGTGCCAGTCACTAAACTTAGAAGTTGGGATATATTAGCACAGTAGACACTGTCCCTCTTTCATGGATGCTATATTTGAGATAGAATAAGCAACAAGTAAATTATACAATGTCTGCAAAGTCTAGAAACATTGGTGGGTAGGCACGATGTCATTAAGGACATCTTCAATCTGTAAAACAAAATATTTTCTCCATTTTCAGACTTTCAGACTTACCTCTATTGTGATGGTGGAAGTACAGAGTGAAATGAAAACAGAGAGAGTAGACATCTCTCTCTTAACGTAATGGAAGCAAGGAAGGCTGTAGGAAAGAAGAGACAGCTGAGACCTGGAGGATGAATGAGGAACTGGCTTCAACAGGAGGGTGAGTGGTGGGGCTGCTGCGTGCAAGATCCTATGGCCAGTATGTTTTTCCACCAAGGTGCAGATCATGAAGGTCCTGAGGGATGCCAGGCTGATGTCCCCAAGGGCATTCTGTGCCAGGCCCACTTTCTCCTGAGGACTTTTTTTTATAAGTACCTGGGAGCAGGCCAGAGTCCTCTTCTTTAAGACAGAGATGACTTTTCCTTCTATCTGGATTCTCTGCCAGCAAGTGCTCTTTCTCCTGACCTCTGTATCCCATCCTGACTTCTATAGTTGACTCATTAGTCATAAGGATTGAGTTTCCATTTGAAACTTTCTCTACCTGTCATCCAATGATTGTATTAATATCTACCCTATGAAATTCAGATGAAGATTAAATAAGATAATGTAGGTTAAAAGACTTCATAAACTGGGAAGCACTCTATAATTGGCAGCTATTATTATTATTACTATTGTTAAACTAATTATAATAATTATTATTCCCATAGAAATTATGTTATTAGTCCAAGGTCACATGGAAAGCCTCCCACCTGGACATTAAGCACATGAAGCTAAAAGCATTTTAAAGATTTATGCTCTGGGATGCAAAAATCTCCCACATCCAGGCATCTTGTGCTGTGTTCAAGCTTCCAGGACCACAGCCAAACTGTCCTGCCTGGACTCTGCCCCTCGAATACTGCAGCTCCTTCACTGGTACACCAGTGAAAGCCACAGTTGCCAAGATTTTCCAAAAGCACGGTTTGCATTTATTTTGTTTAATTCTTACATTGTGTTTCAGCCTCCTCCAAAATGCATTTGTTTGCAGAAAGAGCCACGTGGGGAAGTTCAGCCCACAAATAAGAATATAATTATTACACAGTTTAGCGATGCCTGGGCGTCACCCGGGTATTCACCGGTGCTCCAAAATTCAATTGTCTCTCCTTCAAGACCGTATTTAATAGGATAAACAATTTCTGCTAAATGCAATAAATGTGAACCTGGGCTGTCATCTCCATAATCAACTCAAATTTCCCATTAGAAACAGTGGCTGTGATTGAGATTCAGAATTTAATTTGGCAGCGCTCGCTTCAACATGCTAGTGTCAACTTCATGGGAGCCTCCCATCAACCAAAGACAGAATCGCTCTTCCCTGTCTCAGGGGAATCTTAAAAGAGATAGATTATAACTCAAGAAAATTATACGGCTTCAGTATAATGAAAGAGATAAAACATTATTGGATTATCCTGTTGAAATAACAGCAGACGGCAAAGCAATAATAATAAACCAAACAAGGGCCCAGACCCATCAGCTGAATTGCAGGGGCCATGGGGATGCGGGAAGGCAGGCAGGATCACCATACTTGCTGGAAGAACCCCTAGAAGTACAATAGCAGCTCCTTCTGATGGCTGTTCTATGGACCCAATTCCAGATAGCTGGTTGGGTGAGATTGCTGTGTGCCAGTAACCAAAGCTTGGTGTCATGTTAAGGTCTCAGGCCCCAGCGTCAAACCCAGTGGTAAACTCCAAGCAGATGATTTGGCTGAAAATCAATGGGTTGAATCAACAGGATGAACCAATTCACCTTTAACCAACTGCTTTTTTACCCCACCAACTTTATTTCAAGAAATTCACCTGAAGTACTTAAATCAGACAGGAGGGGCCCAAGAGCAAAGAAAATCTTACAGGATGTTTTAATACGATTGAATGAATGAGAGAAATAAAGCTTAAATGCTCACTTGACAATCTAGAAAATTAAAATTTTACTTCTGGTAGCCCAGAGAAAAATTGTCTTCTTATTCTCTTCTTCAAGACTTCTGCCCTCCCCTCAAAATGGTATTTGCACAAGAGCATAAGTGAGCAAAGTAGAATGTACAGTTTCATGGGGGAGGTAGGGAACAGTTTACCTTGCACATTACCCCACAGCCATCAACTTAAAATTCTCTTTCACGTGTTTCCTCTTCCAGCCACCATGATCTTCTCTTCTTTTTCAACTTTCTCTTCTTCAGGGATCAGTTTCCCTGGCTCTTTTCTCCAGCTCAGGATCTTCCCTGGGAACCCACCTTGCCACTCCTTTATTAAGCACAACAATTCCACTCTGCCCCAGAACTCCTGCTTCCAACATGCACAACCACACCCTTCCTATGCTCAGCATCAAAGTGAGCTGGGGAATCAGGATCCTCTCTCCTCAGAAGGGAGTGGCTGGAGATTTGTCAATCACACACACACACACACACACACACACACACACACATGCACACACACACAGTAATTTCTGCTGCATTTTATTTCATGAAAAATTCTTTGTTAATCAGATACTCATTTACTGAGAGGTAAGACAGCATCATAGTTAAGAATTTAAAACTCTAGAGCCTGACTTTATAGCCCAGGTCTGCCGCTTTCTAACCAGTCACGGCTAGAGGGCTAGAGAGTGGAACTGAAATGTGAACAACTTCCAACACAATTCCTGGCTGGTAGTCAATATGAGTGAAATAAAATTGTAGAGTGAGTAAGGTGAGGATTACAAAGATGCTTAAGCCTTTAACTCAGTATTTATTTAAATCAACTTGCATTTTACAAGGTAACATCTTTATTTTAAACAGCTTGCATGGCACTGCCTTTTGCCCTTGCATGAACTCCAGGTGGAAACTGGTGTAGGGCTGAGCTGGCATGAGTTCTTGAGGGCTCAGGGCTCTCATTGTATGTAGCCCACTGCTGTATCATCTGCTAGGAGCAGTCAAGTGTTTCTGAAGCAGGGCCTGAACAGGGGCTACCCCCATTTTGAGGAGGTGGATTGTTACACTGCCTTTGTCTTGTCTTACGTCTTCCAGAGCATGAAGACCAATTTGACCAGCAATTCCACTTCCCATCAATGGGGGTATCTATAAGAAAGAAGGTCAATAAGCATCAATCAGCACTTCTTATATTCTGGTGCCTTACTGGGGTTGGGTGAGCTATGTAAGCCAAAAGGCTTTGGGAGTCTGAATCTCTGAGCTCCCTGCTGCCATTTTCCTGGCCATTGTACTTGTCATGCTCTTGCCTACCACAGGGCCTTTGCATATGCTTTCCCCCCTGTGCCCAGAACACTCTTCCCTCCTCTACTCACCTGGTCAATCCAATTCACCCCTCGGATCTCAGTAAAAGTGTTATTTCCTCAGGAAAATCTTCTCTGACTCCCCCAGTCCCCATCAATTCCCTGTGACTCCTAACTCTCCATCAATTCCTCATATTTTAAGTTCTCTGAGCATTTTGTAGCAGTTGTTACAATTTAAACTTTAAAGAACTTTATGGGACAATTCAAATGATATTGGCCTTCCTTTCCAAAGCAAAATCTCTATTGTGACTGGGGCTGTATCTTATTTGTTCACCTAGCAGCTAGGCAGGCAAACAGGAGGCCCTTGCTAAACATGTGTTAAATGGATGAATGGATGAATAAATAAATGAATGAATGTTTTCCAGCTTAGACAGTTCCCACCTATAGGATGCTGGATAGTTATCTTCTTCTCAAACTATATAATGGGAGCTGTGTTATCTACTGTGAGCAATGGATGTTGTAGATGAAGTGACAACAGACACCAGTGCTTTCCACACCCTGACACTTGGCTTTCACTTGAGGATTTTTGATTGTTGGTGAGATTGGCAAGTCATCAATCACTTCCATCACAATTTATCATGTGTCCAGCTTTGCCACTACCTCACAGTGTAATTCTGGGTAAATTACTTAATAACTGGGCCTCTCCATTTGAAAAATAAGAGAGCTGGAGTGCATGGTTCCCAAGGGCTCCTCCAACCAATAGGAACCCTGTGGTTGTGTGACTGCAGACTCACTGGGAAGATGACTGCTAGGGGCATGGTTGAGGTGCAAGATGAGAGGGTGGACAACCTTGAGTGTTTTACTGGGAACATAAGAGTGCAGGCAGGAGTTACGATCAAAGGCTGTGGGGGCAGACCCCTGGACCTGAACCTGGGTTTCCACACTTCCTAATTGTGTGACTATTGGGTATGTTAGTTAGTGACCCATTGAACCTCAGTTTCTTCATCTATAAAATGGGAATATCAATAATATCTACTTCATGGGGTTGTTGTGAGGATTAAAGAATTTAATATATATAAGATACAAAGTAACAATGTGCTCTTTAAAAAGTAACCAATGTTTATCTTGCTTTTACAATGTGTAAGGTATCATTCCAAACGCTTTATATGCCTCCTTACAAAGTCAAGACAACTCTATGAGGTTGTTAATATGATCATATTCATCTTACAGGCACAGAAACTGAGGCATAAAGAGGTCAAGTATCTTGCTCCAGGTCAGTTATTAAATGATGGAGATGGAATTTCAATCCAAGCTGAGTTTAAGCACTCAGCAAAGTGTCTATTATATAGTAAAGTGTCCAGTAAATGTTCGTTGTTTGTTTTACATGTGCCATTTCCATATTGAACAGTATCACCAAAAAGTCGCTGAAAGGAATAAAAGTGAGAGAGGAGTGAAAGATTGAGAGCTCTTATGTGTTAAACTGGCCAAAGAATTTGAGATCTGGAAGGGATCTTAATGATAGCCAAGTCTTTCATTTGTTAATTCAACTATTATCACTGAGCAACAGCTGTGCCTGGCTACTGAGACACAGAGGTAAATGGGACATGGTCCCTACTCACAGATGCAGGGGAGTTAGATAGATACATCAACCCAAAATACAATGCACAAAGAGCTATAATAGATACATGTTCAAAGTCCCGGGGGAGCCAGCAGGAGGAATTAGCTCATTCTTTGGGGATTAGAGGAATTTTTTATGGAGGAGGGGGCATACGTGCTGGAATTTGAGGGCTGAATAGCAGTATACTAAGCAGGAAAAGAGGGTAAGCATTCCAGAATGATCCAAAGAGATGGCTTACAAAAGCCACGCATTGATATTTCTCTAACATGAAGCACTCTGTGTTGTAAAAATAATGAAATGCATAACAATCAATCCATCAGTTATTAAATGATGGAGATGGAATTTCAATCCAAGCTGAGTTTAAGCAGGATGGATCTCAGGTTTCCTAGTATCCAGCCCCACACTCCACACCAGCTCCTTGCTCTTCTTCTGGTGAATTATTCTCTGGACCTCCCCAGAGTTCCTTTTCCAATTAACTTACTCTTCCGATAGGAGACCTCACAGGCTAGGCCTTGGGATCCAACAGGACAGATGCAGTCACAGCGTGATCCTGAGAAGACAAGGCAGAGAAAGTGTGAATCATGCCAGGTGGAGCAAAGAACTCCTGGAGCTCAGCCCTCCAATCACTGCAGTTCCATCAGGTTAAAACAGAGCACATATTTAGTTAAATGGCTTGCTATAGGCAGGTTCAGGGCCAGGAATACCTACTCCTTTCCTGAGGGCCTTTGCCACGAAGGGGTGTTTATTGTCATCCCTAGGAATACATAGAGTTGTTGAAGACAATTACTCATGAGCTGACATTTGACCCATACTTAAATGCTTTCAGTGTCAGAAGCTACATTAGCAGTCACTGAGGCCAGTTGTCATTGATGTTCAATTTCACACCAAATAATTGCCTAGCTTAGACTTGAATACCTCGAGGATGGGGAACTCATTACTCTTAGATGTCTCATCTGACTTTTGGCCAGTTCTGACTCCTTGGAAGTGATGCCCTATGTGAATTTGTAATCTGTCAAGCAACTTCTCATATGAATCACAAGAAATCTCCTTACAGGGTGTCCATCATAGGTCAGGCCCTGCAAGCATCCCAGTCTCTGGCTCCATATTCTCCCTCACCTTCACTCTATAGCCTCAGGTGGGTCCAAGTTTCTAGGTCCAAATTTCGTACAAGGCAAGGGAGAGTTCAGCAACCCTAGATTAAAATCTTGAGTTGATGAGCTGACCCCACTTGCTGCAGAACTAACCCTCACATAGGGGTCCTTGTGCTGATAGCAGAACTTCTAGGCTGTATGCTCTCACTTATGTCTTCTCTGCTCATGTCTATCCTCTCCAAGGAGCCAGAGACATATTCCTCAATCCCAGTCTGGCAACTGGACCCTTTCTGCCTGAGAATACACCTTCTTCTATATCCCTTCCGTTGAGCTAACTTCATCCACGTGGGCTCTGCCTTGACTCCTGCTGGTTCCCTGGGCTGAGACTTGCTGTAACCAGTTGCTCCTGATGCCCTGTTTTGTGTGCTGGGCTGGCCTCTTTTTTAGAGTCTTGCTAGGCTATCACAACAGGAGCATAAGATCCCAGGCTCTCACCCCTCCCAGTCTGCCCTGCTCACTGCAGTGACCCCAACATGACTCTTGAGTTTAACAATCAAGTTCTAGTGGCCCATCCTTGCTGCTACCCCCAAATCTTCTTATTATGTATTAGTCAGGACATGCACAAAGGGCTTCTCCTACTCAGCCCAGGCCCCCTTTGGGTAGAGATTCTCTGAGTTTATTCCCACTCCTTGCTGTGGACCACAGGATCTCAGCCTGCTACTGTCTTCAGCTTAATGATGCTGTCACCCACGGTAACCCTTGGGGCTAGAACCCAGGTATACTGACAGCCAGAGTAGTATCTCCCAGTGGACTAAATTCTGACTTCTCAGTAAACAGAAGCAGGCAAATGGCTGGCCCCCGGCCTGCTTCAGATTATGGCTTCCACCAGGGACACCAGCTGCCTGAAAGTGGTACCTTTCAGGACAGGGACTCCATTTCCTTGGCAGGGAGCACAGTGGCAGGAACTAACTTCCTTCTGGAACTCCTCCAGTGCCTGCTTCATGTTCTGCCTCACTGTGCTGGAATAGGCAAAATCTGTGGCTGTCACTAGTTCATACAGAGGCTCCACCTGGAAAGGGAAAAGGGCATTTATTTCAAGAGAAAAACATTTATCAAGTAGAAGTGTAAAACAAAACTACAAAGGAATGGACTGGGATCAGTGTATAGAGACCACATGTGGGTTCCTATGAAACTAGATGGATCTCCCATCTTCTCTCTGCTTCCCCTTACCCGATATACACAAATTAGCTCACTCAAGTTCAGGTCAACAAACACTTAGAATGCTTAACTAAGTGCTAGGTATTAAGCATAAAAAATGAGTAAGATAAAATCCCTACTCTCAAGGAACTCAGAATCGAGAGAGACAGACAAACATACCAACAGATGGTTACCACATGGTGGATACAGGCACCAGCAGAAACTTGTAGAAAGAAGCAGGTGAGAGCAGAAAGGAGTGGATGCTTCATCTATCTTTGGTGGGGCAGAGAAGGTGATTTTCCAGCAGCTCTTTGGAAGGATTATAGGGGTACTGTCCCAACATCACTAAGCCCTCCAAACCTATCAAAATCATTCCCATCCTGCAAGAGTCACTATCAGGAACCTTCCAGAGCTGCAAAGCTCACAGAACAACTTCCCTCCATTAATCACTCAAGATACTGTCTGCACTACTCATCTGAAACAAATCCCATGTTTTTTATTGCTCCTTTATAGTCAATACTGTCTTTTTTTTTTTATGTGCAGGGTCCTTTTTTTTTTTCTTTTCTGATTAGATTGTAAGCTCCCAGAGATCAGGGCAATGTCTCAGCTCTGTGTTTCGAGGGTCCAGCCCCCAGCTAAGTGAATATAGTGGCTGGATGGATGTAGGGGGATGGAAGGCCTCATTAAGGTGATGGCAGGGGGCATGGATGAGAGGGTTTGGCTGTCAGAAGCATAGAGGAAGAATCAGCAGATGCTGCTCACTCAGTGGGCATGGCCATGTTTGAGACGGAGAAGTCACAGATAGATGTGGCATTATTTGTGGGTTAGAAAAACCAGAGGCACAGACAGTCCAAATAGATAGTTAAAAATGTTCTATTCCTCTTGGTTCAAGTTGCAACTCCAGGGCCAGGTTCCTCTCCAGCTTTTGCTTGTGATTCTGCCCTAATCCTGCCCTGGAGAGTTTAGGGTACGTCTAAATGCAGGCAATCATGACTAATAGAAGCCTCCCTTGGGAAGAAAATTGCTTCCATTTCTTAATGCATCTGATGCTGACCTTTGCTCCAGTGGGCAAAGCAAGGCCCCTTGGTGGTCCCATTGTCTCACCATTTTGTGGTCAATGAATTGATCCAGAGGCTGTTTGCAGAACCATCCAACCTGCTGGCCACACAAGGGGTGGGGGTGGGAGTTTGGAGAGAGAAAGAGGGGAGCTTGCTTTACACCAATGAAGAGCTCCTCCAACATCTGATTTTGCTCCCAAAGCACCTTGAAAGGCTGCCATTAACCAAAAAGGCATTTTCCTACCAGCACTGGGGTTTGCTGCAGGAGGCAGAGGAAATCAGAGGACAAACTGGAATAAACCTTCCATATATACTGTGTCCTGGGAGCTGTGTGGAGGTCTACAAATATGATCCTACTTCATCCTCACAAACTAGCAATTATCAGCCCCATTTTCAGGTCAGGCTAAGTAATTTGATCAAGATCACGCAATTCATATATGGTATTACCAGAATTCTATTCCAAAACCTGTTTTTCCTCCTAGTTCACCATGATTATTGATAAAAATGGCTTGATTATTCCCATTTACAGTCTCCCTCCTAGGCTTCTCCAAATTTTGCCAGCTATGGTTTGACTTGCAGCTTAACAGCAACTCCTCAAGGCTCCAAATTTCCTTTTTAAACTTAATATAGCACATTCGTCTGTTCTTTGATTTGCTGCTCATTTTTTTCCTGTCTTTTTTGTTCTCTCCTTTTGCTCCTCCCTCCTTAACTTTTGTCCTCCTTTTCTCTTTCTCTTTCTTTCCCACTTCTCCCCCAAATACACAGTTCTAACCACTGACATTGATCATTGGATCCTCAGCACACCTGCCCTTCTGAAAATTTTCTTTTATCATATTGCTGCAAAGAAATGGTGAGCACCGACTAAACTCTACACAAGTTTCCATACTAAACCTTGGTGTTCTTAGTGATAACAAATAATTATTTCCATAGCTAGCATTTATTAGGTGCTGAATTAAACACTTTATATACATTATCTAACTTAATCTTTGCAACAATCTTATGAGTTCGTTAGTCTTTTGTTTCCTTCTTGTACAGGTGAAAAAGCTGAGGCACAGAGACATTAAGTAGATTGACGAAAGTCACATAGCTAGTGAGTGGTGGAAAAAGGGTGTGACCTGTTAACCCTGTGGTCTGTTTCCTTTCAGTGTATATTTTTGGGCAGGTAGATGGACCTATCCAAGGGATGAATAGGTAGCAATTTACACCAAATTGGTGGCATAAGTGTAATTTTATATCTCACTTTCTTCACTTAACATCAGAATATGAGCATTTTTCCACATGATTCCATCGTCTTTGATAAAATGGCTTCTTACATCTTCAGAGTATCCTTCTATATGGATGAGCCACAATGTATTCAACTCTTCTTCTGTTCTTGAGCCTTTAGGACATTTCCTTTCTTTCTTTTCCCTTTTGCTACTTCAAATAACAAACTAAGACATGCCTTTACACATACATCTTTACCAACTTGTCAAATTATTTCTTTAGTACATTCTTGCATTGGGTGTTGTTGGATGAAAAGCTATAAGCATTTTTAATGTTCTGAATATATCTGCTTAAATTCTGTTCCTAAATAATTGTATCAAATTATATTCCCATTCTATTTGACAAAAATATCCATCTCATCACAGTCAATGTCATTGAGTATTGTAGACTTTCAATCACTGTCCCTTTAATAGGTAGAATATAATATTGCAGTTACTTTAATTTTTATTTTTCATGACTACAGAAGTTAAACATTTTGCATCTTTATAAACCAACTGAGAAGTGTTCATCTCCTTTGAGATGTTTCTTTCTTCAAAACTATCATTCCTTACATATTAAGGATCTCATTTGTGGTAAATTTTTTTTTTTTTTTTTTTGGTGTGTTATCAGCCATTTAGTTATATTCATGGGTTTTCTTGGTTTTTTCTTTTCCTTTTTTCTTTTCTTTTTTTTTTTGAGACAGAGTCTTGCTCTGTCACCCAGGCTGGAGTGCAATGGCATGATCTCAGCTCACTGCAACCTCCACCTCCTGGGTTCAAGCGATTCTCCTGCCTCAGCCTCCCGAGTAGCTGGATTACAGGCGCATGCCACCACACCCAGCCAATTTTTCTATTTTTAGTAGAGATGGTTTTCACCATGTTGGCCAGGTTGGTCTTGAACTCCTGACCTCATGTCATCCACCCACCTTGGCCTCTCACAGTGCTGGGATTACAGGTGTGAGCCACCACACCTGCTGGGTTTTCCTTTTTGAAATTCAGAATTTATTTTTGCAGGTGAGCTTTGTCAATCCAAATCCAACATTGTCTTTCCAGGCATATGCTGCCACAGCATTTATATTTTAAGCACTCCCTGGACCAGAGTAATTTGCTTTGAGAAAATCTTTGATACCTTGCTTTGAGAAAGGTATGAGGGTCATTATTACAGTTTATTAAATATTTCAGCTTCTTTTCCTTCTGGGCACATGGTAAGGCTGACATTCTTGCTCTCTTTGAAGGCAGGTTTGCAATGTGACTTGTTTTGACCAGTGACAGGTGAGAAGAGAGTGTCACTTCAAGGTTGAGGCTTTCCAAACAGAGTGAGGTGACTTGTCCCACTCTTTTATTATCACTGCTGTGGTGATCTTGGGAGCACACGACAAGACGCAGCCCCCATCAGCTGGATCTGTGAGCAACTACATTGAGCAAATCCCCCTTGCCAACACACTTTGGACATATGTGATTGAGAAATAAGCTTTTGTGGTATCAAGCTACTGAAATGTGGAGGTTGTTTCTCTGCATCATGACCTATGCTATCCTGATCTCTGTGTGGGCACCATTCATTACTGTATTTTTTCCCTTCTGCCCTGGGCAATGCCAATAATTCATACAATGGCTTCTCTACCAGCATAGGACCCAGCCAACAACCTAGCTATCCTGACTAGCATAGAAATGTACATGGATGACAGACTTTGTGACTAGGATTACCAGTTAAAGACAGGCCATTCAGTTATATTTTAATATGAGATTAAAAAACAAATAATTTTTTTTAGTTTAAGTATATCCCATGCAATATTTCGGAGATACTTACACTAAAAAATTATTCCTTATTTACCTGAAATTCAAATTTAATTGAACTTCCTGTGTTTTCATTTGCAAAATCTAGCAACTTTTTATGTGACTTCTTTACTATCTAAAATCTCTTTGGAATTCTTCACCCATTAATGACCATTTCACTAGGTCACAAGTTTTTCCTTCAAGACTCCTCAGTTGTTGCTCCATTTTCTTCAAGCATTTCACACTGCAAAGAATTCTAGGGCCAGTTTGACTTTTATTCCTGTAGGATATATTTGTTCCTAAAAGTAAACATTTTCACCAGGATGTGTTTCAGCTTTGTTTTGTTTTCAGTACTTTGGCTTAGTTTTCAATGAGCTGTTCATTCTGCATTATCAGCTCAGGGAAGATTGTCTTCTTATATTTTTGATTAATGTGTTTTCACATTTAATTTTGTCTCTTTCTTAGGAAGAGGTCTCTGTTTTAAGCTTTCTACTCCTGTACTCTCTGTCTATCGTATTTCTTTTCTGCCATTGTTTTAATCTCCCTGTCTCTTGCGTCTGCATTTTAAGAACATGTTTATAACACCTTCCACATCACTGTCTCAATTTTCTGCAATGTCAATTCTGTCGTTTATAGCTTCCAATGTGGGCTTTAATTCTGTTATTGTATGTTTGGCTTCCTGTATTCAGCCACTTGCCTTTTCATCTGATTAGTGTCTAAACACCTCAGCTTTTATTTCATAAATTCTTCATTTCCTTGAATTGTATGATAATCACAGAAAATGTATTCTAAAATCTTCTTCTATTTTTCTGTTTTTTTAGACATCGTTATTTCCTATAGCATGAACATAATTTCAATCTTTTGTGTTCAAGATCTCTTTATATGTTCATTGCTGTCTCTTAAGTCTTCTTTGAACAAAGAGCTACCTATGTCTAAAGTTTACCGCTAAACATTAAGAATGGGTTCCTCTGTGGTCTCCTTCCCTGCCTACCTGCTTCTATAGAAATCATGTTTTAGGACTTGATCTTGAAGACTGGTTTACATAATTAAGCCTTGGTTGAAACTATTGCATCTAGAAATTGCTTGTCTACTGGGCTCTGCTGTCTTGAAATCAACTGCCACTCCAGCTACCTGGTAAGTTGGCTTTGCGGAGAAGAATTATTCTGACATAATGTGAAGCCATCTGCAGTTCCCTCTTGCCAGAAAAAAAAAATGCATGTGAGAGTGGGATGCCCAGAGTGTATATTTCCAACTCAGGGTGGGAAGGTACAGATGTGTGTGAAAGCCGTCAACACTCTTGCCTCCTCTACTCCTGCAACACTCCCAAAACATCTCTGATTCTCTGACACATCCCACATCACATCACATGCTTGGCATCTGACATTCTCAGTGCCCAGGTAGGCACATTCAACTGATCTGAGTGACCAGGGAATTCATTTGGTTCTCAGTTTTTTAAAAAAGATTCAGGTAAGATATCTCAGGAAAAAGAGATAAAGGCTAGGGATCTATTTTCCCTTGAACTCTGTTCTCTCCCATGACCAGCTGTGATGCCAACCAATGTCACCATGGCATCGGCCAAGCCCAGATTTCTCAGGAGCCCCTGCAGCTCAGCTGATTTTATCCTTTTCATGTTTGCCAGCAACTGTACCCTAAGTGCCACTGTTGAGTAAGTGCAAAGGAGAGGTTTTGAATGGCAGCCTTCTTGTTCTGCAGAAACTGTGTATTTGTCATGCAAATAAAGAAATCACCAGGCTGGGGACTGCAGAGTCTCTCATCAGAGCACCAGTCCCTCAACCCTCCACCTTGACTGCAAGGTGGGATCTCCAGTGAGTAGGTACTGGCCCATAATGACTGTACAGACATTAGCAAGAAGAGCATGGTGTTAAGACGTGCTATGGGCCCTGTGCAGAAGTCCCCACAGGCAAGGACCTACCATTGCTGACGTGTATGACAGTCCTGGTCTAACAAACATCTTTTTAGTTTAACATTGTAAAACTCCTCTAGTTTGGGTGACAAGTGGTTAGGATCATTATGTTTTATTCATCAAACCCACAGGAAAGTCTAGAGGGGAGGGAAGAAGTCAAAGTCTTTTGTTTGAACCGAATAGACTCTTGAGCAGCCAAAGATGGATACAACTTCTCTAGCCCTTGATTTCTGTCAACCACAATATGGAGATAAGAATAATTACTTTGCAGACCAGTGTGGGGATTACATAAAATAACATTTCTAGATGTTAGATGAAGAAATATTTCTAAAGAGGGTCGTGAATATATTAGGTGCTCAAGACATGTTAGTTGTTGTGATGTCTTGTCCTGTAAGATAGTTACGTGTGTGTGTGTGTGTGTATCTTACTGTTCCTCGTAGACTGTATGTTTTATCCTTGCATTTTCCTCTATCTTCCCTTAGTACCTTACTTCCTGTAGCATAGCAGGAATTTAGCAACTATTTGTTGGTTGAATGCATAATGTTTAAATGAATAAATAACTAAATGAGTGATTCTCTAATGAAATAAAAGGAATATTAATTTAATTGATTAAATTTAATTGATTAAATTTTAAATAAATTAATATTTCTTTTATTTCACTAGAGAGGCTAGAGGCCAGGCACAGTGGCTCACACCTATAATCCCAGCACTTTGGGAGGCAAAAGTGGGAGGATCACTTGAGGTCAGTTCAAGACCAACCTGGGCAACATAGCAAGACCCCATTTCTAAAAAAAAAAAAAAAATTTAATTAGCCAGGTGTGGTGTCATGCACCTATAACCCTGGCTACTTAGGAGGTTGAGGCAGGAGGATCACTTGAGCCCAGGAGTTGGAGGCTGCAATCAGCCAAGATCATGCCACTGAACCCTAACCTGGGTAACAGAGCAAGACCCTGTCTCTAGAAAAGAAGAAGAAGGAGTAAGCTAGAATTAGAAGCTGATTGTTAGTTTCCTTTAGCAACTTGGGGCCCAAGTGAGAGGGAGTCAAGGGTCTCTAGGTAGTACTGAGCAGTGTGTTATAATTTATTTATTTCAAATATATTTTCTACTATCGTATATGTGTCCCAAAATTAGGGCCTGGGTCTTAGTGATCTCTGCATTTTATACCTTGGCTCATGGTAGGTCCTCAGAAGCTATTTTCTGGGTGGAGGAAAGGATGGGTAGAGCAGCGTTGTGTACCTTAACTTTGATGATGGCTGGGTTGTACTGCACAGCGTCTCCCCACTCCTGCATCAGGTCCGCCGTCGGCAGCTCCTGGTATGCCAGGGTGGTGATGTGCTCACTTGCCCCTCCTCGTACCAGGACCACCAAGTCCTCCACCATGGTGTCCCTCTTGTTTCTGTCTGGAATGGACACAGAGCTAGCAGGTCACAGAAGATATCCCTTTGCCCCCTAGAATTTGCTGCAACCCAACCAACAATTTGGGTACACCATATTCACTGAACTTGTCTGAGAGATGTGGGTGGACCAGACACTTCCTTGTCCACAGGGCAGTCATGGTGCATGGGGCAAAGGGAAACTCACCCAGCCATAGGCTATACAAATTGAGGGCAGGACAAGAAAAAGACATTTATCTTGAGCAGCTGTAAGTGCTAGTTTCTGAGTAAGTTTATGGAAGATAGATGATAGCTAGATTAGATAGATAAATAAATAGATAATAGGTAGGTAGATAGGTAGATAATAGACTGGTAAATAGGTAGGTAGATAGGAGAGTAGATAGGAAGATAGATGATAGGTAAGTAGGTAGATAGGTGATAGGAGATAGATAATAGATTGATAGAAAGATAGACAGACAGATAAATAGATAGATAATAGTAGATAATAGTAGATAGATAGATACATAGATAGATAGATAGATAGATAGATAGATAGATAGATAGATAATAGACAGACAGACACACAGACAGGTAGATGGATAGATAGAGAGAGAGATAGACAGGCTATGATATTTTCTTTTACCAGATAGCAATTTTAGGAGCCCAGCATTATTAGCTCTACTTCACAAATTATGAAACACGTACCTGGAATTGTTAAGTGACTTGCCAAGGCCCACACAGCTAGTAGCTGATAAAGATAAATTTTAAACAAGGTCTGCCTGGTTTCATAGCCACTGTTCCTTGGTCAAATAACTTTCCTCTCTCCAAACTGGCTCCTGCAGGTAAAGTGTAGTGGAGCTCACCTGGTGGAAACTGAGTTCATCCTCTCCTCCACTCACCCTACACACCTTGACCAGGCATGAGTCCATCTCTGACTTTGTCTAGCCTTGTGGTTTGGGACAAATCATTTATACAGTATGAGATTTCTTTTTTGTTCTCATCTATAAAGTGGATACTCTGCATCCGTGTAAAGAATAAATGGTATATTAACAACTAATAATTATTGATTATTTATGTGTCAGTCAGTAATCTAAGTGCTGTACATGTATGAATGCATTTGATCTTCACTACAAAATAGTAGCTATATAATCCTCACTGTGCAGATAAGAAATCTGGGAGAGATGAAGGTACTTACCAGACGGCCCTGTCCAGGCCTTAAATTGTCTCACTTCTTTGTGTGAGATGACAATTGTGGGAAAATTTATAAAGGCTGTGCTAAGTAAGCATGCAGCTGACACTTACTAAACAGTGGCCACTATAAAGCAATTATTATTTTGACTTACGGAGTTGCCCAGAAAGCCCTCAATCATATCAGTGAGTTATTTCCATTCTAATGTGTCTATGTCCCCAGTGCCAAAAGAACTGGTGTAAAACAGCCCAGCGTGGTGGCTCATGCCTCTAATCCCAGCACTTTGGGAGGCCGAGGTGAGTGGATCACTTGAGGTCAGGAGTTTGGGACCAGCCTGGCCAACAACATGGCGAAACCCTGTCTCTACTAAAAATACAAATATTAGCCAGGCGTGGTGGCACATGCCTGTAGTCCCAGCTTTTGGGAGGCTGAGGCAGAAGAATCCCTTGAACCCGGGAGGCGGAGGTTGCAGTGAGCTGAGGTCATACCACTGCACTCCAGCCTGGGTGACAGAGTGAGACTCCATCTCAAAAAAAAGAGAACTGGTATAAAACAGCTCCTCAAGTCTGAGCCTGCAACACCTGAGCAGCATTAAAAAGTAGGGGGGCGTCTCTGCCAGGCATGGTGGTTCATGCCTGTAATTCCAGCACTTTGAGGGTACCGAGGCTTGTAGATGGCTTGAGCCCAAGAGTTTGAGACCAGCTGGGCAACATGGCAAAACCCTGTCTCTGTAAAAAATAAAATAAAATAAAATAAATAATAATAATAATAATTAGCCGAGCATGGTGGCATGCACCGGTAGTCCCAGCTACTCAGGAGGCTGAGGTGAGAGGATTGCCTGAGCCCCGAAGGTGGAGATTGCAGTGAGCCGAGATCACGCCAGAGTAAGACTCTGTCTCAAAAAAATAAAAATAAAAAATAAAAAATAAATAAAAAAAAGCTGGGGGAGGGGAGGAGTCCTCATCTACTGCCAACAGGAGTATAAATTGGTACAGCCATTTTAGAAAACAGCTTAGCACTATCTAGTCAAATAGAAAAAGCACACCCTCTAAAACCCAGCAATTCCAGTCCTGTGTGTATTCTCTGGAAAGACACTTGTACGTGCGTACCAGATAACTATGTAAGATGTTCAGAGCAGCATCAGTTATAATTGCTTGAAAGAGGAGATAATCCAAGTGTTCATCAACAGTAGAATGGACAAAGAAAGTGGTATATTCAACAAAATAGTATGCAGCGATAGAAGTGAACTAACTATAGTTATACACAAAAACATTATGTTGAATGGAAAACACAGGACTGGAAGGATTATATTCCATTCATATAAAGTTCAAAAATAAGCAACACTAAGTCATGTTAGTTAGCGATATGTTAGATGGTAAAACTATAAAAAACAGAAGGACATAGTTGGCCTAGAAGTTGGGATAGTATTTGTCTCAAAAAGGGAGGGAGGTGTTGTAATCACCAGAGGCACTAGGAGGATAAACATTATAAGTGTGGAAGTCACAAGCCCCTGTCACTCACCTTTTATTTCATTCAGAATACCTCTGCATTTGCCTACAGACACACCCAGACTGACGTAGACCTCTTCAATGGCACCACCAATTTTAAAATCATTTTTGGCACAGGCATGGACGTTGTTAAGAGTATAATCTGAAGAAAACAAGGAAAAAGGTCCATGACGTAAAAGGTAGTTCACTCTGTCCCTTTTCCTATGATCGAGTCCAGAGGCCTAGCCCTGTTGAATGTCACAAGGACTCGGGTTCAAATAAATAGGTCACCAGCCTGATAACAAGAAATGTAGGCAGCAAATGGCACCAGGGCAGAGACCTCGTAGAGCTCAGGTCCAGCTTCCCTTTCAGCCTCCCCGCAACGCTCTCTGAGGATTCTTGCTGACTTTGAAAGAGGGGAAGTGCTCAAAGTCATTTTCTAAAAATTTGATCTGCTTATTGATTCTCTAGGGATAGATCCAGTGAGTACAGTGACTGTTACAATCTGCCTGCCCTCCCTGACCCACCCTTCTCCAATCTTTGATAAAGTAGAAAAAGTGTGTTAATTAATTAGTTGAGAAAATGCATATAAAAAGTAAGGCATAGTATCTGGCAAAGAAAAGGGGCAAATTTCCCTGATTTCTTCTTCATTTTTGGACTATTTCCTACTTCTTCCTCCCTAATTCTCCCTGAGGCATCCTCCTCCTCTTGTCTTGCTGAAATTCCAGACGTGACTTATAAGCACCTCTCTAAGCACTCTGAGGCCAGTTCAGGGAGAAAAGAGCAACTTTGACCACCAGGGCTGTCTAGAAATGTTGGTATAGATCAGTTTTTCCCAAAGTGCATTTCTTGAAACATGAATCCCATGAGATGGTAGCAGATGTTATGAGAAAAGGAACTTCTGTGGTCAAGAAAGTGTGACAAATGTTGCATCAAAATAGGTGGAGAGGTCATTTTATTGGAGTACATTCGTGAAACTTTGAGAGTGGAATCTATTATGTGTTTTCCTAACTTATTTAATGATTAAGCCCTTTTATGTTTGAGGAACAGTGGAAAGTACTTCTGAGACCATTTTTATGCAGGAAGGTACCTCTGATTTTGACAAGACTGAGGCCACACTGTAAAAATTTACATGGTGTACCACGTGTCCTCTTGCAAGTACATGGACTGGTAATCAAGCCCTGGCTCCACCACTGCAATCTGTGTGACCTACAGCCATTCACTTAACCCAACAAGTGCCATGTCATAGGAAAGGATATTGGGTTGGAAAGCAGCAGACTTGTAGTTGACTGGAATTGGAAAGAGCTGGGATATCTCTATGAAGATGAATTACAGGGGAGGGATGGGGGTGGAATATTACTTTGGAGACCACAGTGATAATCTGAGACCTTGCTATGTAAAGTATGGTCTATTGGCCAGCAGCATCAGGGTCACTCCAAAGCTTGTTAGAAATGCACTCTTAGGTCTCACTCCAAACCTACTGAATCAGAATCTACCTCTTCCAAGATTCATACTTGATTCACATCCACATTAAATTTTGAATGTGAAGGTCTGGTCATGGGGTGAGCCTATGGTGGTAATAGGAAAAATAGAAAATATAATTTGGAGGTAGAGCTGATGGATTTGAAGAAAAGAAAAAACAGCAGATTTGAAGAAAAGAAAAATAATCAAGGTGGACTGCTAGTTTTATGGCTTGAGCCACTGGTTCGTTGGTGGAACCGTTTCTGAGATGTAGATGGCTATAGAATAAAACATATTGGAGAAAGAAAGTCAAAAGTTCTCTTTGGGCACATGTTCAGCTGGTGAGATTTGCTACACATTCACATGCAGACATCAAAGAAACATTTCAACATAAACTCTCGGGTGCAGGAAGAGATCCAGGATGGATCCAGGAAGAGATCCAGGAATTATCTGCATGCTGAAGGTATTTAGAACCATGGGATTGGATACAATTGCATAGAGAGAAAAGCTGTAGAAAAGAGAATGGCCTAGGGAGCTAGGCAGAGGAGGACTGACATTGTCAATCAAAAAGAAGAGGAAGAGGAATCTGCAAATGACACTGTGAAGGTGTAGCCAGGAAGGTAGAAAGAAAACTACAAGTTCAACTTATGACTCTTCCCCCAGCTTTTAGGAAAGCCATGGTCCCTTGGGCAGTATACCTCCTCTCTCCATGGCCTCTTTGTTCATAACGAGGGTGTATTCATAAATGCCCCCAAGCACAGCCTCTGTGATGTAGTGGGTCCCAAAATCACGGAAGAGATCTCTGTATTCCCCGTAGCTGTACTCCAGGGGCAGCCGCTTAACTCTCTGAAGGAACTCGTAATGGAGCATGAGGCTTCTGGGTTTCAGCTTGTAATGTGCTACTTCAAGGTCAGAGCGTGCATGCAGAAATACGCTTTTCTAAATGAAATACCAACATGGGAAAACCAGACCTTTAAAGTTAGGAATCTGGAACGAGAAGATGAACTTTACAAATACCATCCGATGTTCTTGGCCTGGGGTCATCACTCTTATGATTCCTTTAGGATACTTGAGGGAAGACAGCCTCTTTGACAAGCTTTCAGTGCTCATAAATATTCTGACATCCTGTTCAGCTTGGAAGAGCTTGCTCTTAACTCACCTCCTTACTGTAGAGAATAAGGACTGGGAAGGGTAACAAAAGCAGGCATGGCAGGGAGCAGCTGGAGGGCATGGGACCTCTCTGATGGGACATGGGGTTTGCTAACCTGCAAAAGTGCCCGCTTTGCTGATGCCTGTAAACTCTGGAAAAAAAGCCGTGCAAGAAAGAGTAAAAGTGGTGCTTTAGGAAAACCAGCTATGACAGCGTATGGCAGGAGTCAGCAAAATACAGCCTCATACCAAACTCAGTACCTGTACCTGTAAATAAAGTTTTATTGGAACACAACTGCCTCCATTACTTACATACGGTTTACAACTGGTGTCACACTCCAATGGCAGTGTTGAATAGTTGCAACAGAGACCTTGCAGTCTCACAAAGCCTAAAATATTTACTATCTGGACCTTTACAGAAAGTTTGGTGACTCTCCATGTATGGAATAGACTGAAAGCTGGTGATGCCAGATGAAGTATAAACATCTAGAAAGTGTTAGTACAACCCTAGGTGAGCATTCCCTATAGTGCTGTATAGGCAGAGAAAAAGAGGAAGGTGGCAAACGCCTGTGAGATATGTTCGGCCTAATCCTAAATCCTTCAGTTCTACAAAGCCATGCCAGCTGTGCTGGTGCCTATTGCCCTGGGGCCTCATTTTGTCTCCTAGCTTGCTCTCGCCCCATTCTAGGCCTGCCTCAGTGACCTATGACCCTCTTCCTTCTCCCTTACCCTTCCTAAATAAGCAGTCACTAGGTACTCTGTTCATTATTTTTCTGAATATTTTAGGTTGCATCTCATTTTGTTTGCATTATTATAAAAGCCTCCTCCCTAATCTCCTTCCTTTCTTTTGCCTCCTTCAATGCCCCAGTCAGAGTTGACATCCTAAAATTCAGATTGTATTATGACCATGCTCCTCTTGGCTTAAAGCAAAACCTTGCATGGCTTGCTGTTGTCTTCAGAATAAAATCAGCTCCCCTACTCTGAGTATAAGATCATCACAATTTGTCCTCCAGTAGCCTCTCTGGCTTCAGCTTCTACACTCCTGAAGTTTTCTTCTCCACACTTTACTACTTTCTACCAACCACGTACGTCAGCATTCATCCAACTTTTCACTGTTCCCCAAGCCTGCTATTCTCTTTCATATTATTTTGCACATGCTGTTCCTTCTCCCTGAAATGTTATTTTCTCCCTTTTCTGCCCGACATATACCTACTTACCTTTTAAATTTCTACTTTGCCATTGCCTCCAATCTGATAACAACCTGAAGGTCCCAGATGCACCCTGGCACTCCCTTTTCTAGGATTGCATTGTACTTGCTTGCATTTCCTTTATAGCATATGCCATGTTGTATTACAACTGATATAATTAAGAAAAATATGGCCGGGAGTGGTGGCTCACACCTGTAATCCCAGCACTTTGGGAGGCCAAGGCAGGCAGATCATGAGGTCAGTAGATCAAGATCATCCTGGTTAACATGGTGAAACCCCGTCTCTACTAAAAATACAAAAAATTAGCTGAGCATGGTAGCATGTGCCTGTAGTCCCAGCTGCTTGGGAGGCTGAGGCAGGAGAATCGCTTGAACCCGGGAGGTGGAGGTTGAAGTGAGCCGAGATCATGCCACTGCACTCCAGCCTGGGCAACAGAGCAAGACTCTGTCTCAAAAACAAAACAAAACAAAACAAAACAAACAAACAAACAAAAAGAATAATATATTGGCTTTCATGTTTGCTGCTCCTACTACACTGCACTGTGAACACGAAGGCCAGAATATTATCCTAGAGGCTACAGATCCCTAGTCTATCTCTAGGATAGTGCCTGGCCCAGTGCTAACATCCTATAACTGGCAATTTGAATCAGGGAGCTGGAAGGGAGAGAAGGAGAGAAGGAAATGGGGAGGGAGTAAGCAATAGGAAGCAGATGATATGATCAGATTAGTATCATAGAAATATTTCTTCATGTGTTTGAAGGGGAAAGCTAGGAGACAAACTATTTAGTTGGGCACAGTAAGAGATGAAAGAACATGGATTAAGAGGTAATAGGAGTTAGTGTAAACAAATATTGAATAGTAATACTGAAGGATTTGGTAATCAACAGATGTGGACATGAAGCAGAAGTGAGAGCCAGATATGATTCTGGCTCAGTTCTTAGCCTGGAAAAGTAGAGGGGAATATGCCATTAACATCCATTGAAAATTTAGGAAGAAGACATTGCCTTGGAGTGTCAGCACAATGCCCAGGTGAGATGCTCAGAAGAGTGGATAGGGAAGGTCTGAAGTTTAACCAAGAGGTTAGAAGCAGTGATGAAGGCTCATAGCTTGTCCCTGTAAAAGAGGAAGTGAGTCGAAGAGGGCAGGCACCCAGGGGAGATTGGAGAGTACATTGAGAAGAGGGCCATGAATTAAATAAAGGACAGATGGGAATATTAGACCCAGGAAGGAAGCTGATAAGGAGCAGAAAGAAAGCAGGAGAAACAGGAGAGCAATGGTTTGGTCATCTCCACTGAGCACCCTAAGAAGTCAGAGAAGAGGTCTTGGGTAACATTCCAGAGAGGAATTTCAGCTGGATGTCTGGGATAAAAGTCAAATTCCTGTGGGCTAAAAAGTCTCCAGAGAAGTTCTGGTCTTCAAAGCTACATCTTAAGCTTATTGAAACCCTAAGGGAAAAGTTTATTAGAAAATGAAAGAAAATAATTAGAGAAGGTTATCTCTGCCTGGTCTCTCTAAAAAGTAAGTTAGCTATTTTTTTTTTTTGAGAAGATTTCAAGACAACAGAAAGATAATTGGTTGTTAGAACTAGTTGTAACGTGGAATATAGACACATTTGGGGCATGTCATTTCCAAAGGATCCATATGCTATATCTGGAATGTCCCCTCCAAAACTCATGTTGAAATTTAATTGCCATTGTAACAGTTTTGAAAGGAGGCACCTTTATGAGGTTATTATGTCATGAGGGTTCTGCCCTCATGAATAGATTAATGCTGTTGTTTCAGGAGAGGGTTAGTTATCGTAGGAGTGGGCTCCTGATAAAAGAATGAAGTTCAGCCCCCTTTTTTCTGTCTCCTGCATGTACTTCCTCACCATGTGATGCCTTCTACCATGTTATGATGCAGCAAGAAGGCCCTCACTATATGTGGCACCTTGATCTTGGACTTCCCAGCCTCCAGAACTGTGAGCCAAGTAAATGTCTTTTCTTTATAAATCATCCATTCTGTGGTGTTTTGTTACAGCAGCAGAAAATGGAGTAAGACAACATATACGTTTAAAAGCAACAAAGACATACTTACAGTATGAGAGAATCGTTTGGTTCTCCTAATATAGTGTTTGCCTCGATCACTTTGACTACTGATGCCAAGTTCAAATATTCCAGGTATTTTAAAACCAAAACTGAAACCAGACTTGCTTGCCATTTTCTCTGTGACATTGCGTTCAAAATCTGAGTATGATTCATACTCTTTTAATATGAATTCGTATTTGCCTTGGGTCTAAAGAAGAAAAAAGAAAGGGTTTTTTATTTCATTTGACTCAAATCAGTTCAATACCAGTGAGCAGACAGCCACTCTACTCCTACCATGTGCTGGATACTGAACTAGATGCTCTGGATACAGAGAAATCAGGGCCGATTTGTGTCCCCACCTCAGGGCTCTTGGTTCAGTAGCAGAGACAGACCTGATCAATACCTTGGGTGAAAACTTAGAGGTTGGTTTTTGATTTGTATTTCAACTGGCAAAAATGCAGGGGAACATTCTGGGCTGTGGGCTCAGCTTAAGCAAAAGCATGGAGGTGGGAAAGGGGAGGGTGTGCCCCAGGAACTGCAAGGATAGCAGTGCAGTTCATTGAGAAGTTGAAACAGCGAGGAGAAAAAGGGGATGTTGTGAGAGGATATTCTGACATCAAAATAGGCTTTTGAATTACTTCTCCTGAAATCTGGGAGTAATTCAAGTATGACCTAGCAGAGGGAGTAGATCAAGCCTCAGGAAGATGATGTGGGACAACCTGGTGGTTGGATTGGAAGGGAAAAATTTAGAGTCAGAGAGACAAACCCATGAGGAGGCTGTAAGAGCAGTGCAGGTGATGGTTGATGAGGGTCTGGTCTAAGGCAGTGGCTGGAGGATCAAGTGACAAGGGCAGGAAAGTGCCTTAGAGAGAACTTAGGAGAGCCATTTGCTCTAAAACCAGTGTTCATGGCACTGTGTGTAGGGGAACTGCCAAGGGTACTGCCCTGGGGGCCCTGGAGTGACCAGTCCTGAGTCATCTCCCTGCCCACAGCTCCCATCAGCTTCAGCTTCTGCCCATTCAGCCTGCAACTCCCAGACAAGGGTGCAACAGCTCAGCCGCTACAAGGGGAAGGAGGAGCAGTTCGGACATGGTCTACAGCATGGCCACTGAGATGCGCTGTGTCTCTGCTCTTGTCTAGTCGGATGACTTTGGACAATTGCCTTGACCTCTCCATGCCTCAGTTTCTTCATGTGTAAAATGGAGGAGATAATGGTCCCTTTCATCAGGCTTGTTCTGAGGATTGGGCTTATACTGGTAAGTCATAGCACGGCACCTGGCACAGCGCTCAAAGAATGTTGGTATGGAGAGCGGAGAGTTTACCATGTATGTCCTGCCTGAGTTAGGATCCACTTGCACCTGGATGGTAATGGTTGCTGTGAAATCCTCCCTTGAAATTAGAGGTTTTGAGGATGGCACTGGACACCCCAATGGAGAGTGTGTTTGGCGCTAAGCCAAATTTGTTCTTTCTTGGCTAAAAAGTGTGTTGGGGAGGAAGGGAAGGAGGAGTAAGGAGGAGCTAGCCTTCAAAATGGTGCAATAAATACATTTTAAAGACAGGATCTTGCTTTGTCACCAAGCTGGAGTGCAGTGGTACGACCTTGACTCACTGTAGCCTCAACCTCCTGGGCTCAAGTGATCCTCCCGCCTCAGCCTCCCAAGTGGTTGGGACTATAGACACGCACCACCACACCCGGCTAGAAAAAAGGGAGCAATTTTGGAAGTGGAAATTACCGTCAAGATCTTCTAGTCTCGTCCCCCAGTTTCACAGATGAGAAAACTGAGGCCCAGAGTGGAAAAGGAACTTAACCTAAGGTAAAATTGGGACCTGTGGCAGAGCCAGTCCTGGAACCCAGTGTGTTCCCATCGGATCTCAAGTGTGTGTGTCCTATGGGCTATTCTATACCCCACTGTCTGTGAGATGTTTCTAAGTTTGTACATCAATCATAATAGGGGCTTACATTGGTAGAGCATTTCATAAAATGCTTAGAGTAATGCCTGCTTTTAATAGGCAGGGATTTGATAAGAATGCAATAACAACAGCAAAAAGAGTTAACATTTTCTGTGGACTCACCATTAAGCCAGGTGCTGTGCTAAATACTTACACACATTATCTCACTAATCCTCTCCCTGCAGGGTAGGACCTCTATAACTCCCAATTTAAAGATAGGAAAACAGAGGCTCATAGCCTTTGGATTATATGGATGGTAAGTGGCAGAGCCACCAAGTCAGTGTGACTCCAAATCCTAAGCTTTATTTCTATCTTCAAGGTAGCTTTTGATATTATGGTTTCTATTATTACTGCTCTACAACCGCCCTCCTGTTGCTATATACAGCATGTCATCTTCACCACAATGTCTGGAGGAAGGAACTGCCCATTTTCACATATGAAGAAACTGAAGCTCAAAGAGAAAAGGGCTAGCAGGCTGTCAGGCCGGACCATGGACCCTGCTAACTGGGTGCTCAGCTGGGGCTCCCTCCACTGCTACCTGGCTGTCTCTTACCTGTGGCGTGTAGCTTTCCACATTGTAGGGCTTCCTAAACCTCGTGTTCAGGATGTAATGCGGGGAGCATCCACCTGCATAATACCTGTGATCAAGAACTGGGCCCTCAAAACTGTTTGTGAACAAATTTATCCTGTGAGGAAGAGACAGAGATGGCGAAGAGGTTAAAGTTTGCGGTTGCTTAATCTTGACTGTCAGACCCTACTGAACGAAAACAAAAACTCCTTGGCACAGCCTTCAAGGCCCTTGATACCTGGTCCAAGCCAGCTTTCCAGCTTCATTTATGGCCGCCCTTAACCACAGCCACGTGCCCTAGTCCCCAGCCATGTGAAGAGGCTTGCTCTTGCTCCAGTCTACTCAGCTCCTTCTGTGGTAGGTACTGTTCCCTGCGCCCAGAATGCCCTTCCACCCAGTCACTGTTTTATCTCTGACTTGTCTGTCAAGATTGAGCTCTGTTGCCACTATGGTGAGAGGTTCCACTGACACTTGTGGTGCTTGAAGCCCGCAGCCCAGCTGGGTTAGGGACCCTCATAACACCCTGTGCTCGCACCGTTGTGCATTTATTGTCCTGTATTACTACAGTTGCCTTGCGAGAGTTGGGTAGCATAATAGATAAGTGCGTGGACTTTGGAGCCAGACGTCTGAGATCCAATCTCTGTTCTGCCCCTTACTGCCCAGGTGACCTTGGGCAAGCCAATTAAACCTTGGGTGGCCACTTACTACCTGTGTGCCTCAGTCTGCTCATATGCAAATAGGGACCATGAAAATACTACCTCATGGGGATGTTGTGAGGATCACATGTATCATGTTTATGAAGTCCTTAAAACACTACTTGGTCCGCGATAAATGTGCTATTTATGTATTTGTCACCCTCACTATACTGTGTGCTGTTTGAAGTGGCGGTTTTCTTAATTTCCGTACAACCCTCATCACAACGCATTTACAATATTATTCACAATAATTACTGTTTACTGAGGGTGTAACTGGTGACAAACACAGCAGTGGGTAGCTACGTGCATCATCTCATTAGTGTCCCTGCAGCTCTGTGCAATAGATGTTATCTCCATTTTAGAGAGGAAAAGAATCCAGCCCCTCCTTAGACATTATTTGTAACTGCCTCCTAAGGCAAGCTTCCATTCTTGACCATCTCTAACTACTGAAATTTCTGTTTTTATTAAGAGTCTCTGTCTCCTATCAGCTTCCACTTATTGGCCTTGGTTCTGTTCCTCACCAGAATTGTCTGGGGTCTCTTTCCCATGACATATTCCATGTATCAAAATAATGTATACATATTTATTTTCTTTAACAAATATAATGTGGTGCTGACTTTGTGGAGGCATCATCCTAATCAATTTACACACAATGGCTCATTTAATCCTTATGAGGATTAATCATTAGGAGGTTAGTATTACTATTATCCCCATTTTGCAGATGAGAAACATGAGGGTAACTGACTAACCCAGAGTCTCCCTGCCGGGAACAATGGGTGGACTGGACTTTGAAATCTGACAGTGGAGCAAGAACAGAGTCTGTATTCTTCCCACCACACGAGCTGCCCAGCACCTCGTATGTTAGTCACATTCACTTGTTCAATCTTCACAGCACTTTGAAAGAAGCATGTTATTAACTTCCTCCTGCAGATGATAAAGCTAAAGTTCCACGTAGATAAGTGCCTTGCCCGAGGTGCCCTGGCCAGTGAGCCACTCCTTCAGTTCCCTCCTACAGGGTCCTGTCAGACCCTACTGCTGGCTTTGAATGTCTGCTATCCCACACTCTAGCTGGGTGACCCTGGAACTCACTCAACTTTCCCGGGCCTCAGTTTCCTTATCTGCAAGGTGGGAATTATAATAACTAGCTTATAAGGCAATCCTGAGAGAAGCCTCCCATGTGAAGAGTCTCTAGTGACAACTTTAAAAATTGAGATTTGATGGGTTTTTTTAGAAAGAAGGTAAATCCCATTCGGGGTCAGTGTTCCCCTCCCCAGGCTGTGTCTCATATGATGATTCCTAAAGCATATGAGGGGAAGGTCTCCCTCTTCCACCTGCAGGCTGAGAAGATGCAAAATATGGCAGGAAAGTAAGGTGCATGCCAGGCCAGTGTGGCCCCTTCTGAACTTGCTCCTCTGTCCTCGCTAGAGGACAGGACCAACTCAGAGATCCCCAAAAGCCCTGGAAATCCATCCCTTCACTGTCTAAATAGAGACCTCTCTTCTTGGAGGGACCAATGCTGGGAGATAGGGGCAGACCTGGATAAAACCTGCCTGCCAAGTTGTCAATAGGATTCAAGAATGTAAGGCTTAGAAAGCACCTAACATGGTCACACTGCAGGTGTTAAAATAAAGGCTCCCCTCCCTACCCCAGCCCTTGCATAGCAGCCTGTGTGGTTTCCACACATGCACAGCTCTGTCCCAGTGTTCCAAACCAGCCCTCCTGATGCCTATATCTGTCCATGGGACGTGTTCCTGGAGCTGCTTGGAACTGCCCTCAGAGAGCAACCGGAAGTGTTACTTACAATACAGTCTTTTCTCAGAAAGGTGAGTGAGGACCTCTGTTTATATCAGTTCTCTCATTCTCTATCCGCCAGAATTCCATTTAATGCTGTGCCTTCCCATCTACGCCACAGAAAAATGGTCACTTACCCACTGGCCAGACTGCCAATTCCCCAGTATTGGTCCATTTCATGCTGACATTTTTTATAAATCCTTCTACAGTTTGCTTCATCTGACTGGTCTCCACAGTCATTGTCCCCATTGCAAAGAAGTCTGCGGTTTACACACCTTCCTAGAATGGAGAAAGAGTATTACCCACAGCCACATGGTTGGCAAGAAAGGAACTAACATAGTATAAGCACCTACCAAGTGCCAGACCTTTTGTCAGGCCTTGCATGCTGCCCTGTTTTAATTAGTCATCCTGTATCCAGATAGATTGGTTATGGCACTAACAGTTTATTCCTCTATTGCCACCTCCCTCAGCAGAAGAGGCCAGTGTTGTATTCCAGAAAGCAGCAGGACAGTTTGGACTCTCTCTCCCTGGGGCTGGAAAGAGGGGGTGGGATGGGTGTGTCCTGTAAATTGTGTGAGCTGGGCCACTTTTCTCTTGTTACTTAACCTCTCTGCCTCAATTTACTCACCTGTAAAATAGGAAAGTAAAATACCTATCCCATAAGGTTGTTCGAAGTTTAAATGAATAAATAAAACAGTACTGACTCCTAGGAAGTGCTGTGTAAGTGTTATCAGTACTATTCGTGTTTTTGAGGGCCAAGTGCACATTAACTAGTAAATATTTGCAGTGGGATTGAAACCTTTAACTGTCTAATCACAAATTCTTCCCACTAAACCACACTGCCTTCAACAACATAGTCATTTGGATTATGAAAAATTATTTGCATCCCTTTTGCTTCCTTTAAACTTTTTCCTCCTGATTGATTTCCTTTCTTATTAGTATATCGTTGGGAGATAAAGCCCATAAGACAGGTAGTCCTATTTCCTCAGATATGTCTGGTCATTTTAAACCAATGTTCTTGGAGTGTTAAAAGCAGAAAAATAGCAATCTGGCCTTCAAATGTTTCTTACCAGACATTTAAACTAAAGCCTGTCCAAATAACCATCATGGCTTTCATCAGAATCATGGAACACAGGCCATAATGAGTCCACGGATACACTGTAAAAAGTCTCTCAGATTTATTGGATAGAATTTTGCATTTGCAATAACCCCTAGAAATTGCTCTAAGAATCCCTAACTCTTTCTTGAAAGATCCCCATGCACAGTCCACATGGGTACAGTAAATGTAGAGAATTGCAACTTCCATCTAGAAAATGTGGGTCAAAATATTCTCATTTTTGCTGGAGATGGAGAAATAGAGAACCATCTGTTTGCTTGGATTCTCTGAATGAATTGAAAAGTTGTGTTTATTTAGTTTTGCAGCAGGTGATTATTCATTTCTGTACTCCTTTCTTCCTACCTTCCTTCCTTCCTTCTGTCAGTCTATCCATCTGTCCTTTTTTCTTTTCTTCCTTTTAATAAACAATAATTTTTACCGGGTATATCATGGATTAAGGATCATCTTGGACTTAGTGATGCAGAAATGTAAATGACAGGAAATATCTTTCTAAAGATTTATCAGTGATAAATGATGCTAACTGCCCTATGTAACCGTTCTAGGTTTTGTCATATTCTACTTAACCCCAGACCTCTGAGAGAGCTAAGGGAGCCAACAGTCTACAAAGAGCTCTCATAGCTATGATGTCACTTGATGCTTATAACAGACCTGTAAGGTATTCACATCACCCCTAATTTTCAGTTGAGGGAGCCAAAATGCAGAAAGGTTAAGTGACTTCTGCTAGTCACAAAGTCAAAATAAGGCCTGACCCAACATTTCTGACTCCAGCACACATACTTTTTGTGTCTTTAATGTCAATGAATGTAATCTGAATTCTCAAATTTCCAATAGAAACTTTTCCACTTACCTGCTATATGAAGAAGTAACCTCTTCAAGTCTTGATTTTTTAAGGTATATAATGAGGATAATAATAACACCTACATTATAAGGTGATTTTTATAAAATAATGCATGTGAAAGGAGGTCAGAGATTTTAGGACAAGGAGGCCTCCTGAGCTGCCCCATGACCCTGATCTTGAGCACTGGACATGGCCTGTCCCTTGGTCATCAAGAACCATTACCTCATTTCAGGCTTTCCCCTCTTACTCCTACATTGATTTATACCTGTCTGTGCACACACAAAGCCTTCACATCGCACTTGACTTCCGCATGGTCTGTTGGTAACACAGTCTTCGACTTCCTTGTCAGAGAAGTTGCACGGTTCCCCATGGAACTGAGAGGGCTGGAGCAAGTAGGCATACCTGTACTGTAGCAGAGAGGAGCCAGGTGAACCAAGGGTAAAGCCTTAGATCTCAGGAGCTGAGGGATACTCTGTGTAAATGGGTCTTGAGCCAGGATTTGGGCTTCACAAGAGCACTGAAATGTCTGATCATCATTCCCCCAGCCCCTTGTGCTCCCCCCATTATATATACTTAAGGAGCTATGTTGTGATTTGCTGTTTGCTGGATGGTTTCTTCAATTAGTCTGTGAGCTCTCTGAGGGCAGGGACCTTGGCTTTGATCTCTGCTTCTGCAGTGATCAGTCAAGATTTGCTGAATGTGGGAAAGTCAGCCCATGCTGACTCCATGGGCTCTGGAGTCAAAGGTTAGTAGATGGACTCATGTAGCCAGTTCAATAACACAAAATAAATTATCTCTCAGCTTAATTACTCCACTGGGTTGATTCAAGTATTCCCCTTTATTCCTGAAGGCATCAGTATATTATAAATGCAAAAACATGGGCTTTGGAGCTACAACTGATTCTGATACTTTATAGTTGTGTGATATTGGGCAAATTACTTAATATTTATGAATCTCAATTTACCCATCTGTAAAATAGGGATCACGAATTATCTAAATGTTCAGTTATGAAGTTTAAATTATATAATCTCATTATGTTGTTGGATGTATAGTAGGCATTCAATTTCTTGGACTTGTTTTTCTTTATTATTGCTTTTTAGCAGTCAATATTGCTATATCTCTACCATCTTATGCATTTATTCCAAAATGATTGATTGAGCCACCCAGTGTTGAAAAGGTAGATGTTATTGTTGTTTCCTTGTTTGGTCAGTTTTATTGGTAATTGTATCCCCTAGCCTGTTCTCAAGGAGGTCACAGATGCTGGGGTTGGGCCCCAGGCAGTTGCAGCACAGTGCAATGAGTGCCATGACAGGGGAGGCAGAGTGCTTTGCACACTCATCGGGAGTCCCTCATGCAAACTTAGGAGAAGCCCAAGTGGAAGGCTTTGGAAGAACTAAGTGACACCTCAGCTGAAACTTGATGGCTGAGTAGGAATGTCTGACAGGTGTGAAGAACTGACGAGAGTGGGGCTCAGAAGAGTGATATGGGTGGAGGAAATTCCTGTACCAAAGCTGAGAGGACTAGAGAAGGTTTCCCGTGTTCCAGAAAACATTAAAAAGATTCATTGTGGCTGGGGAGAAGAGCACAAGTAGGAGAGTGGCCAGAGTGGGAGGGAGACATAGACAAGAGCAGATAACACAGGGGCCTCCAGGCCTTAGGAAAGTGATTACAGGATTTTATCCTGCGGCAATGAGAAACTGCTGCAGAGGAAGAAAGTGATCAGATTTGGGTGATTTCCAAAAGTTAGTTGCAGTCAAGATTTTAGTAAACAAAAGAACACAGGAGGCAAGCCAGGATAGCAGCCCCTGCTTTGCAGGATGACATTAATAAGGCATAGTTATTACCTTTATGGCATCTATACTTTGGCCTTGGAAATCCAAAAAAAGAAATGTAGATAACCATTCACCTATGCCCTTTGTACTTGCAAAGGGTCATTCTTTCTAGAAGGCAGAGCCTGTCAGGACAGGGACAAGGCTTGCAGAGAACACTGTGAAAAAAAAAAGACTAAAAAGCTCCAGGCTCCAAAGGCAAAGTGGGTTCCAGGAGTGTGTAAGTGGTGCAGGAAATATATCACCCAATCTGACTTGAGAGGCTTTGCTGAGCCCCCAGCCAGTGACCCTGCAGACAGGGATGATAACCAGCTGAGGGAACGTCTGCGGCAGACTCTGAGAGAGGAGCTCTGGCTGCCAGGCTGACTCATGCTGAGTCTTCCTAGTTTATGGTGCAGATGAAGCAATTATCCAGATAATTGGATCAATGCTGATACCTTCAGCAATAAAACCTACTTTGGGAACTGAATGATCCACCTTGGCTCTCTCCATTGATCCAATTAACTGGGTGATTGTCCTGGGCTTACTTCCACAGCCTCTTTAGAGTCTAAGCCCATGGCTGGTTTGGTTTCCCAAGGATCTGGGGAAATAGCAACCATTCTCTTTTCTCTGGCATATCTATTGTTCTCAGAAGTAGGATCCTGGGTCAGCCCTCCTATGACCAAGGAGGCTGAATGACAGATATTGCGGAAATTGAGTGTGTTCACTGGAAGAACCCTATACAAGGAATACTGGACAGTAGCCTGAGTTTGAGGTCTGCATTTACTACTAGGTGAACTCAAGAAGCCATTTATCTGCTCTGATTTCCTGTTTATCTGTCTGTTTAACAGAAAGTGTAACAACAACATTGCCTTCCCTGTAGAGATATCAGAAAACAGAACAAGATCAAACACCACATATTTATGAAGAACCTATTCTGTGCCAGAGATTGGTCTACACATTGAAAATGCAGAATTAAATCAGCCTTCACAAGTTCACTGTGTATTGAAGGTGAAAAATAAGTGGCATGATGTGATAAATGTGAGGATACAAGGGTAATAAGGAGCTATCGAAGCTCATAAAAGATTGCTTTATCCAACTGGAGGTAGGGCTGAGGAGGAGTCAAAAAGCTTTCTCAAAAGAGGCAGCTCCTGAGTAGGAGTTTCAAATTGTGAGTAGGTGTTCACCAGTGAAGGAAGTGGGAAATGTCATCCTACCTGAGAAAGCAGCATGAAGAAACGCCCAGAGAGAGTGAAGGCCAGAGTCATACAAGTGTCCATTGTGCTGGAAATGTAGGCTAGATTCGGTCACAGGGATCCTCGAAAACCATGATCCTGGACTTGATCCTAAGGGTCATGGGTAGACTGTGAATGGTTTCCAAGTGGGCAAAGACAACTCAGACATACACTATGATTGCTTCCCCTGTTTCATGATGAAAGATTGATTGAAAGAACAGGTTCAAGGCAGAGAGTCTAATTAGGAAGCTAGTAGAGTGAGAAAGGCTGGGTGTGCTTGGAAAACACTGGAGAACCAAAGGAAAGAACTTATTGCTGCTTGGAAGCACAGAAGGAAAGGATGCATTTATTAAGTTAGCCGACATTTATTGAGGGCCAACTATGTGCCAGGCACTGTTAGCAATGGCTCAGCCGATCTTGCTGGGGACAAAGGCTCCTGGAAGCTTAGAGCTGTCCCAGGCCTGGTTGCTTACCCTTTTCTTCTGACAGGGGTCACATGTGGTCCAAGAGGACCAACTAGACAGCTCACAATCAATGGGCATCAGGGTAACATCCACACTCCGCATCTGTCTGCTCTTAGCAAAGCTCTTGTTGACTGCATTTGACCCAAAGGAATGTGGCCTTTCACCTCTAAAAGTCATTATGAGAGAAGAGAGTCACGTATCAGAAGGGAATTAAGTATACATCCAACCATCTATTTGTACATTCAATAAATATATATTTGCTCACTTGTGCAAGGCTATTAGTTTATCATTCCAGGATAACCTATCCTGGAATTAATTAATTAATCCAACAAATATTTAATCCAACAATGAAATATTAATTAATTCCATTCCTTAATTAATTAATTAATTTAGGTTAATTAATCCAACAAATATTTATTGAACATGTAGTAAGCACCTAACATTATGGCTAGAGAAACATATCTGTGAGAAACATGCCTCACGCCCTAGCTCTATGGGACTTTATCCAGAGGGCAGGGATTTCCAGCATGCA
This sequence comes from Homo sapiens, assembly GCF_000001405.40. NCBI lineage: Eukaryota > Metazoa > Chordata > Mammalia > Primates > Hominidae > Homo > Homo sapiens. Next base: position 56,960,543 of record NC_000001.11, read on the forward strand.
GGCCCCATGGCTGGAGCTGTGCAGGCCCAGTGGGAGTCAGGAGAGCCTGGTAGTAGGGAAACAAGGAAGAGGCTGGCAGCAGCAGTCCCACTGAGTGGTATAAGCCTGAATCATGGCAATGGCCAGGGCGAGAGGATGGGGAGAACCAGCATATGAGATGCTTCTCATGTGGAATGGATAGAAAGTGATGGTGGATGGTGGAGGTGGGGTGCTAAAGGAAGGCCTTTTAAGTGGATGCTGTTTTCCCATTTGAGTGTGTGGGCGGTGGGAAACACAGCAGAAAATAAATCTTGATGGGGAAGACTTGAGTTTCGGGTGGGGCATGCTGAGTTCCAGGTGCCATGAAACACCTACGGAGACTCATTTAGTAAATAGTTCCTATATGGGCTTGGATCTCAGGATGAGAGATTTGTGCTAGGTACAGATCTGATCATGGAAAGCTATGGAAGAGGAGGAGATGGTTCTTGAGAGGAGAAGTGAGTGAAGGATACTTATTCTTGGAAACCTCAGCACCACCAGCAGAGATAAGGCAATGCTTTTGGTTCATTTCCTGGAGCACATTGGGTTATGAGTGGATGAATGAGGATGCTATTTAATTTGCCTGGGCCTTCAGTTTCTTCCTCTGTAATATGAAGTGTGTATGATGATTCTTATTTTTTTCTTACAATTGAAAGGGTGTATTACACTGTAAGATTCTTTGTAATTTGTGTTCCTTTCCAGGGCACAAAAAGAGATGGGAAGACAAAAGGAATGGAGGTTTGCTGAGCACCTATGACAGACATGTCAAGGCTGTGCTCAATGGCCCAGCATCACCCACGCTATCTTCTTCTATTTTCACAGCAATGCTGGAAGACAGCTGTGGAGCACTGCCACCTGGGCAGATGAGGGAAGCGGCCCAGAGAGACAGGGACACATCCACGGTCATGCAGCTGGTATGCAGTGGTGTTACGATCTGAGCCGAGGTCTCTTAGGCTCTAGAGTATATACGGGTTTTGTCCGTTGCCCCATGCTGCCTGGAAGGAAACAGGGCCAGCACTGACTCCAATAATCTCTTCCAACATCTATGTAAGGCCTCTTTCTTTCCATATCCAGGATTGAGTCATTAGGGAGAAGAGCATCACGTAGTTTTCACCATCTCATATACACAGGATGTCACTCCCGACAAGGTCATTAACAATATGTTCTCAATTGGCAAAAGTCCTAAAAAGAGGATAATATTAACTACGGTGAAATCTGTGTCCATGACCGCCACAGAGACCAGCAAAAATCAATTGCCTAGTAAAGCTGGATCTTTAATGAAAGGTCAAAGACTACTGGAAACCACAGGTGGATACTTTAAAACGGTTACTTGAGGCAGGATGCTACACACCAGTGGGGGGCTTCAGAGTGTGTTCTTATCTACTAATTTGCCCAGGTTTGACAAAACAATATTGTCTGTGATTTGGCTTCTCCTAAGTATGTATTTGACAGCTCTGCAGGGTACCCTCTTCCTATTTCAACTACAAAACTGTTACATTATGTTTTTAGCAACCAAGACAACTCCAGGGCCATAGGTGAGACTGAGCAGGTAAGTAATGTACACACTAGCTATTAAGAGTCACAATTATTTTCGTCTCTGAGATTTGAAAGCCTGTTAATGGGCAAGATGATCACTTACGGAAAGAACTTGGTAAAAAGTAGTTATATCCACCACATCTCTCATTTTTGCACCCAATTTTCATTATGGAAGGTGGCAATATAATGAAGTAACCAGCTGAATAAATAGTATGTTTGTAAATTACATCGGATGAGATGTGTGTGGTTTATTAGTACTATAAAATGCAAATCTGAAAGAAAGGCTAGGATTAAACAGCATCTTTAGTTCCTGGGACTAACGAGGAGCCACATAAATTCTAGGTTCCCTCAGGGCCTCTGTGTGTGGGAACAACATGAGCCTTTCACCCCTATGGATTTCTATAGAAACAAACCTGATGGACATTTTGACCAACTGACTAAACTTCTGTCATTAAAAATCCTCTGTATGCTTTTAACATTGAAAAATTAAGCATGCCTAGAGAAGTACAAGAAATAATATAATAAACACCCATGTACTCACATCCAGATTGGCAGTTGTTCACACTTTGGTACACTTGCTTCAAGTCTTTTTGTAAATTTTTAATTTTGACATCTGCATTTTACAGCAGCCTCGATTTTGCTCCCCCCACCTTACCCCCAGAGGGGCTATTGCCATGAATTTGGTGTGTTTCCTTCCAGTCTCTTTTAGATAATTTGATGTCTATACACTATCTATAGTATTGCTTGTGTGTGCTTTATTCATACTTACACATATGATTCTGCAACTCACTTTTGTTAATCAACATTGCATTTCTGAAGTTATCCATGTTGATTCATAAAGAGATCTAGTTCATTTCTTTTGTCTGGATGTTCTATCATATGACACACATTGCATTTAATTTATTCCTTCTCTTTTTGAGGGACATTTATATTTTCCCAATGTTTTGCGATTGCAAATAGAGCTACAGTAAACGCCCTTGCTCAGCTCCTTGAACATGTGCCCCCTCTACTTAAGGACTGGCAAGGAGGTGTCTTTCCTGGGGATGCAGAAAATGCTGTAGCCAGCATTAGGACACATTTAACTGGGCCCAGGTCTCCCACTCTTTTCCTAACAGGCGTCTCTGATCAAAATAAAGATGGATCCATCCAGTACAGCAGGATTGGGTCAGCAGTAAATTGCAAGCCATCAGCTTATATAGATGGGGTGCGTCAATATATTTTGGCTTTCGGTAGAAATGCCCTGACACAACAACTTTCTTGTCACACACAATTTGTTAAGCAGCTGCATCCCCTTTGCAAACAGCATCCTTTTTCTTTGCTAGAAGGGGCAGCTTCTAGGTGGCAGGTTTTCAATTTCTCTTCTCTCTGTCGTTTGCTGTGGTAGACATGAAATTTAAAGCAACATCTCAAGGCAACAAATGTGTGGCCCAGAGATGGAGAAACAGCACAGAGGCCAACAAGTCAGATACACAATGTGGAGGTTGGGGGGTGGTGGGGGGTGGGGAGGGGACAACGCATTAGTGAGAAGCAGAAGGATGCAGAGAGAGTGCAGGGACTCTGAGACCTGAATGAAACTGGATTTGAATCCATAGTTAGCTGTTTGTTAAGTGGATAGCCTTGGGACACTTATGTTTTCTGTTTCCCTCTCTGTGAAACTGTAAACAGTAGCACTTACCTGGAATAGCTGTGAGGATTATAGCTAATGTTTCCAAGTTGCTGGCACAGAGTGGCAATACATAATAGGTCTTACGACACAGTGATTGTGATTTCATCATCTGACTTGATTACAAGAGTAAGTAAGAACAAAAAACTCTTTTGGCCAATACGAAGGTGGTCTCAGCATTTTCTGTTCCAGAACCAAAGACTATTCTTCTACTCGCAGATGGAATTCAAATACCTGTCGTGTTCAAGACAGCCCCATGGGGATTATAGGTGGATGTCAGAACTATACCCAGATTCAGGTAAGGGTTTGAAAACCTCACCACACATGCGTGAATCTTTTCTTGTCACTGAGGATCAGTTTGTTCTCTTACATAGCGAGAAGGAGAGATTACACCCACCTCATGATGTTGTAGTGACAATTAAATACAATTTCTCAGACTGCACTCTAATCAACAATTTGCCCCTCCACTCCCTACCTCAGAGTGAACTTCCTAATATATATATTTGATCGTGTCACTCCTTTGCTTCAACTCTTCAATGGCTTCCCAATGCATTGTGGTGAGGATATAGTTCAAGTTCCTTAGCTGGTACTCCAGCATCCCCCAACTCTGCCCATGACATGATGCCTGTTCACTCCTACTCTATCTCATCCCTCTCAACTTCCTGCCGGGACCTGTGTTCAAGGCCCACTGAGGTGTCTGGAAGCTTCAGGAGCAAGCCAGCTCTCTCACACTCACGCACCGTTGCCTGTGCTGCTCCCTCTACCTGGCACACCTTTCAACCCCTTAGCCATTCGGCAAACACCCACGCACCTGTAGAGATTCAGCCCTCACACTCTCTGTTCTAGAAGCCTTTCCAGGCCCTATGCCCTGTAGAGCTGATCATTCCCTCCTTGTTTCCTGGCTGCCCCGTAGCATCTTTTGTAACGGTACACATAGCATATGCTCACATGTTGGCATTCTTTGTGAGAACATAGGCTCATCTCTGTATCCTCAGAGCCCAACAGAAAGCTCCACCCAGGGGCACAATGCTATAGATAGGGTTGCTATGGTTCCCTTAAGTCCTCCATTCCGGAGACATTTTCTTGGGTCCTGAATGCTTCTCTGTGTACACACAGTACACACAAGGAAGGTCTTGGCAGCTTAGTTATTCTCTGGGCTAAATGGAGTTTCTTGATCATCCTAATAGCTGTTACTTATTGAGTGGCCAATAGATAGTGAACGAATGCTCATCATCCTGTGGTTCCTAATGGCAGCTCAACAGAACTGAGACCAGAGGCTGTGTCCCATGGGTAGGAGGTACTCCTCACATAAAGTGAAAGGTTTGTTCAGATCTCATTTTTGGACTAAGTAAAAGGAATGGAATTACAGTCCCTCTTCCCACAGGAGTGTTTACATGGAGGCCGGGGACACATGCACACTTCAACATCTCATGGCAGGGGTTTCTCATGCACACGGAGCATCCCCACATTGCTACGTCACTGGCTCTTCTATCACTGGAGCCCAAGTTTGAGCTCCCACTAGGATATTTTCTTTAGCTTGTTTTGCACCTTGTTAATGGAGACTAACAATGATGAAATAAATCAGCCAGCATTTAACTGCTGGGAACCTTGTGGGGGGTGAGAGAGAGAGAGAGAGAGAGTGTGTGTGTGTGTGTGTGTGTGTGTAAGAAGGGGGTGGGAAAGAACCTGAGAATCTGAAGATTTGGGGTTGATGAGCAGGTAGAGTAGGTCAATCTCATTTATTAAAATCATTTCATGAATTTGCTCTTTTGTCCTCTGTATGTAACAAACTTTCTTTTTCATAAAGAATCACACGGAGGCTTTGTTCAGAATACAGAAAAAATATCCTATTCTTCTCAGCATGACAAAATACATTTAAACCTGTCAGTTTCTTACAGGAACTTTTGTTGAAATCAGCTACTTGGTTCCACAATAATTTGAAAAGAGTTGTTGATAGTATGTTATCAGATGCATGCAAATTGCCTTAAGAGACGTTCCTCATTCAATAGGCATGCAACAAAGAGATGGTCAGCATCATGTGGCTGCACCTTCCCTGTCATATTATTGATCAGGGAATTATTGGTAACTGTCACTTACCTGGAGCCAGGCAAACTGAGACAGCCCAGGGCAGCACAGAGAAGAAATAGCTCCACCGGCGCCCTCCAAGCCCATGTCCTGGAATTCTTCATTTTCCCAATGTGACAGGAGATGCCACAGAGGCTGCTAGACCCATAACAAGCCTGTGCTGTGAGTGCCACTGTCAGCTTCTGTCCCCAAGAGCAAATAGCTCTGCAAAGTAAACAGAAAGCCACTAGTGACTGGAAACAGACTTTGCACAGACCAAAAACTTACCTGTCACTCTGGAAACCAACCAGAATAATGAAAAATCTGTAGCAGCATGGTGTTTATTCCTCTGTAACTTTAGGGTAAGCTGCCAAGTGGACAGGCTATTAGTGAGGTGGCAAGGACTGTGGGATCTAGGTCTAGACAGCCTGGGTTCAAGTACATTCTCTGCCACTGACTAGGTTGGTGCAAAAGTAATTGCAGTTTTTGTCATTGCTTTTAATGGCAAAAACCACAATTACTTTTGCACCAACCTAACAGCTTTGGACTATGGGCAAGTTGCTTTACTTCTGTGCCTTACTCTCCTTACTTGCTAAGTGGTGAGAATTAAACACGTTAATATAAGGAAATGTTTAGAACAGGCCTATGTTCAGCGCTCAGATATGTCAGCTATTATTACTTAGTAGAATTCAGGGTTTGGAGTCAGACAGGCCAAGGTTTGAATTCCATGTTTGCCTCTTTCCAGTTACATGATGTTGAGCAAGTCAGTAAGAGGCTGTAGGGCTCTAGAACCCATCTACCTGACTTCAAATTGCTTCTGTATGATTCACCAGCTGTGTGGCCAGAGAAAATTACTAACCCTCTCTGGGCCTAAGTTCCTTCATCAATAAAACAGGGATAATAATAATACCAACCTCACCGGGTTGTTGTGAAGATTAAATAAATTAGATTATTATTAATTATTATTGTAATTATAATTAATTATAATTATTATTATTAAATAAATTAGATTTATTTAATCTTCACAACATGTTCAAAACATGTTGAACATTGCCTGGCACATTCTATGTGCACTCTCTATAAGTGAGCTGGTATTTTTATTGACTGTCTCTGATTCTGTTTCTTCATATGTAAAATTAGGAGGACTATGACAACTTACCACTCACAGTTGGGAGAGTCAGACCAAATACTAAATGTGTAATTGTTGAACAAATAGGCATTATAGAAATAACTACATGACACTTTGGGAGGCCGCGGCGGGCGGACCACGAGGTCAGGAAATCGAGACCATCCTGGCTAACATGGTGAAACCCCGTCTCTACCAAAAATACAAAAAAAATTAGCCAGGCATGGTGTTGGGCGCCTGTAGTCCCAGCTACTCGGGAGGCTGAGGCAGGAGAATGGCGTGAACCTGGGAGGCAGAGCTTGCAGTGAGCCGAGATCGCGCCACTGCACTCCAGCCTGGGTGACAGAGCGAGACTCCGTCTCAAAATAAAACAAAACAAAACAAAACAAAAAAAACCCAGGAAATAACTACATGAAAATAATTATCTAAATATATATGTGCTGTTGTTGTTATTGTTTGCATCCCAAAAGATACAAATGACTGAGGTTCTCAAACCTACCTTCCTGAAAACCATCCCTGACTCCCCAGAATCAACATATTAAAGTCCAAACTGCACCAACCTGGCATTTACAAAACCAACCTGCAACGCATAAAGGGCTGAGTCCACGTGTTGGATGGCGTCCTGTTGCTTTTGCTATTGCAGATGTGGGTGAGGAACCTCACATGGGAGAGGCAGCTTGCAAGGTATGAGGGTGGGCTAGTAGAAAGAACACTGGATTTGCTTTCCTTAAACACAGTTACAGAGTTTCTCTAAGACTCTGTTTTCTCATCTGTGAAATAGGGATAATAATTCATTACTACCTACTTGATAAGTTTGTTTTGGGTTTGAACGTACAAAACGGGAAGCCTCCCCCTCCTGCCACCCCTGCCGAGTAGCTGGGTTGGGGTTGGAGAATCAAATAAGGAAGTATAGTGAGGGGATGGATGGGAAAGCCACAGAAGATGGTAGTCCTCTCACATTAATTGTGTCCAAAACACAGAACACAAGTTCTGCTGCCAGACCACCCAGGATGCATTCCAGTTGTCATAAGCCTAGGTGCAAGACTCCATGTCACCGTTGTCCCAAAGGATGAATTGACCTGAACTTTGACGCAATTGATTGTGGTGGTTAATCATTTGTAAACAAGCAGAAACTTGTGTTTCAAGAAAGATCCATGTCCTGTCTCCTATCTGCCTGCCTTTAAGAGAAGCCAAACCCTTAGAAGACAGGGCTCCCCTTCGACCTCCTCAACCTGATGTACTCACGGAGGAGCCTGCAGGTTTAGAGAGGACAGTTACACGAGTGAATCCTGTGCTCTCTCACCTCCAGGATTTTTGCATGCCGTTCCTTCTGTCCAGAGTATGTGCCACTTAGCTAAATACGACTCATTATTCGAGTTTTATATTAATGTCACTTGCTCAAGAAAGCCTTCCCAATAGATTCCCCTGGGGTTCTTAACGCTCCAGGCGCCCCCAGGTCTCCCGGAGTTCCAACCTCATCGCGCCCCCTGGTGGTTTCCCAGTGCAGCTCACCTGAGATCCCGCCTGGAGGACGGCAGCCTCAGGCTTTAGTGATAGTAATACACATATTTTTCAGGGACAGTTCTTAACAATTTAACAGTTTTCCCATACATCATCTTGTTTGATTTTGACAATAAGCCAAGAAACATAATATCATCTTCCAAGCCTCTAAGATGGGGCTTCACAGCTGTTTCCACAGCTGGTTAGTAGGACATCTTTGGCTTGATACACTTTTTTTTCTGACTCCTAAATGCTCCTTTTTCTAGCTCTGAAGCTTCCCCTTGCCCTTAGGATGTGCCAGCACTGCTTTAAGTCTTCACAGTTATCACACCACACTGCTCTTCTGGTCTAGCTGCTCTTACTCAGGGCTATAGATCTCATCTCTGACCATGCGAGAGCTTTGAAACTGATCATATGTCTCTAGGCCTTTAAACGATATGAAGGAATTTGTAACTCTAGGTCTGCGGATCCACTAACAGTTTGTTGTTTTTCCAACTTTTATTGACTGATTTTCCAGGCTCCACCCAGTTCCACAGCCAATGCCACTTTTCATGTTTCTGCTATGGCAGCACTCCACTCCTGGTACCTATTTTTGTATTAGTTAGCTTTTGCTGCATAACAAATAATCCCAAAATTGTAGACTAAAACAATCATCATTTATCAGCTCACAATTCCTTGGGTCATCAAATAGGCCTAGGCTAAAATGGGTGCTGGCCTTGCCTTGGTTCAGCCAACTGGTAGGTCAGCAGGAGCCTGGTTGGTCCAGGATGGCCTTACTCACCTGCCTGATGATTCATTCTGTCTGTCAGTTAGCACTGGCTGTTGGCTGAAGTGATGAAGTAAATGGGCCACATGACTCCAAATAGACTAACTCAGGCTTGATCTCAGGGTGATCTAATGGTTTCAAAAAGCAGCAAGAAAAGACAAGCCCCAGTGCACAAGTGCTTTCCAAACTTCTGCTTGCCTGATGTTTCTTAATGTCTCCTTGGCTGAAGCAATGGCCAAGCCCACATTCAAGAGCTAGAGACAGAGCTTATACCTGTTGATGGGAGGAAGAGCAGAGTCACATTGCAAAGGGGTATGCCTACAATTTTGGAAGGAATTCGTGGACATTCGGCAATTTCTTACAGACATGTGACACTTTCGGGCTGAAGCACTTAAGAGCCAGTGTGCCCTGTCCATTTCTGTCTTCTGTCCTGTGGATTTGGAAGCATGTGTTGACAGAACAATGTCTTATGGTGAAGGAAGCCTAAACCCCTGAGTCATTGGATGGAGGAGAGCCCATGTTGACCCATAAAGGACTTCATGTGAGTTAGAATTCAACTTTTGTTGTGCTATGTTATTGGGATTTGGTGGTTTATTGTTGCTGCAATAATACCTACCCCATTCTGACCAATATACTTTTAATATATTCTTACATTGCATAAAAAATTTGGTGTGTATATACATTTTTCTGGGGGAAAAATCCATAACTTTCCTGAGATTCTCAAAAGGACTTAAGATTTAAAAGAAGTAAAACAAAACAAAACATTTCCTCAAGAGATACAACTTTTTCAGCCAACATAATTATCTGTCTCCTTTTGAAGATCATGTGATATAGTGTGAAGTATTTGAGGATTCAGAAAGACTGAGACATCTCATTTCTCCTGTGACTTAGTTTATATCCTGGACCAACCCCTTAAGCCCTCTAAGCTGTAGTTTACTGAGTTTCAAATGCAGGCTTGTTGATAAAACACTTCAACAATCATTTATTGAGCACCTACTAGATGCCAAGTGCAATGCTACTTGACTGGGTATAAAGATGAGTGTGTAATGGACCTTCCCTATGAAAGCTCACAGCTTAGTGAGATGGGCAGGCACAGTAAAACATCACAGCAGTACAGTGTGACAATGAGAGAGGTTTACACAGCATAGCTCAGGCATCAGCGAAGTATGTGTGTGGCCATTGGAAAAGTATTCTCAGGAATGAGGTGACACTTAAGGGTTAAAGAGGAGTTAGCAAATGAAAGGGAGGGCATGTGGCATTACAGATAAAGGGGTCATCAAAGTTATGATCCAAAGGTGAGGAAGGTCACTGGGTCTGTGGGAACCATAAGCCATTCAGTGTTGCTGTAGCACAGAGTTCAGCATGAGCAATGGAAAGAAATGAAACAGGAGAGGCAGGCAGGAGCCATATCAGGTAGGGCCTGATGAGCATGCTAATGACATGGATTTTATCCAAACTGCAAGAGAAGCTATTGAAGGGTGTTAGGAGGAGAAGAAAAGGGACTGCTTTCTTTGAGAGATTACTCTTGCTACAGTGTAGAGAATGGATTAGAGGGAGGCAAATTGGAGCCGAGAGACCCCTTAGGAGGCTGTCCTAAGAGTCCACTGAGAAAAGATGCAGGCCTGAATTAGGGTGGTGGTAGCAGAAGAGAGAGTAGAGATGGAAAGGAAGGCATAAACATAATACCTGTCTTATGTCACTGAGGGAAGAAAATAACACACCCTCAGTGAACAGTGAAAGGCTTTGTACACTACACAGCTCTGTGCAAAGGTGGAATTATGATGACTGAGGTTATAGTTCTCTACTAAGGAAGGTATATAAAGTCCCTGGGGCTGAGCCTGGCAGCTGTTCAGGGTGACACCACCCTACACAGCACGCATTTCGCCCTTCATCACACACAGCCCCATGGATTACAGCATGGTCTTGTCCACCTTCAGATGAGCTCCTTGTCTTCCAGGCTCACCTTCCCTGGATCCTGGAGGACAGAATCTATCTCCCTCCTGTTGTTCTAGAGCCTTAATCAGTGTCTGGGAAATGCCGACGTCTACTGTTTCCACTGTAGATTTTTCCTTGCGGCCTGGGGAACCTGATTTTCAAAAGTCCTTAGCTGACTGCTGTGATAACTACATCACCGAAGGTGGTTATGCATATTGGAATGCCTTATCCATTGCATGGGTATTATCACCACTGTGGTTCAAAATTTTCCCAGAAGGAAGTGTAGGTGGGCTGAGTGGGCAACAAGGTTATTGGAGGGCTATCTGGGGAAAATAAAACCCGAATGAGAAAAAGAAGTGGCTCTATTCCCAACTGGAAAAACAAGAAGGAAAAAAATTAAAAGAAAGATAATGATAGCCAGCAAAATTATCCTCCTGTGGCAAAGAGAACAGCCGTGTAGGGAGCCCATATCTCTTTGCTCTTAAACTACACTACATGTCCTAGCTTCCCTTGCAATTATACTTAACCCTGTGACTGCAGTCTGGTGAATGAAATATAGGGAGAAGGGGTGTGTACTGTTTTATGTCTGACCCATGATAAACCTCCAGTGTGAAATCCTACACTCTCTTTTTTCCTCATATGCCAGCTACATGTGGGTACCCATGGTAATCGTGAAAGCTAGTGCTAAAGAGGGCAGAATCTCTGGCAGCCTGAGTTCCTGCATGACTGCCTGGAGCAGAATCTTCTGCACTCTCTTCTGATTAGACTATGCAAGAGTAAAAAAGAAATTTCTATTGTAGTAGGCCACTGAGATGTCAGTGTTTTTCTGTTATAGTGGCTAGCATTACCTAAACAAATACACTCTCCTTCCCCAAATCCTCATTCTCCACCTCACAAAACTGGCAAGCATTGACTAGAAAGGAGTCACAGGTTGAAAACCGCCTTCTAAGTGGTCAATGTCTATGACATGGATGTGGTGGTGGCAGGAAGGCAGTGTCTATTTAGCAGAGGAGGCTATCTATTCTAGGGTTTTGTTTGTTCTCTGTGTTGACAGATATGGAAATTCTGTGTCCTTTATTATGTATATTTCTGTATATAAAGAATGGATATCTATTTATCTGTGGACATGCACAGGTGCCCTCTTTCTTCTATGGTGCATGGTCTTATAAATTATAGGTAATTATTTCTCTCTGGCTGTAAAAGAGGCTTAGATGTAGAATACCGTGTAAGCCATATAGTTCAGGAACAGATAGTGGTATGGTTTGCATGTGTCCCCACCCAAATGTCATCTTGAATTCCCATGTGTTATGGGAGAGACCCGGTGGGAAGTAATTGGCTCATGGAGGCAGGTCTTTCCCATGCTGTACTCGTGATAGTAAATAAGTCTCACAAGATCTGATGGTTTTAGCTCTCTTCTCTTGTTTGCCAGCATGTAAGATATGCCTTTCACCTTTCGCCATGAGTGTGAGGCCTCCCCAGCCACATGGAACTGTAAGTTCATTAAACTTCTTTATTTTGTAAATTGCCCAATCTTGGGTATGTCTTTATCAGCAGCATGAAAATGGACTAATACAGATAGGATGTGTACTAATAACGGTTGGTCAGCACTGATGGTGACAATGAGCACTGTATAACCAGGTGGATGCAAAAGGTGCTCCAAGTGTGCTCCAAGGCGAGGGGTTCACCAGAGTGCTGAGAGGAGAGCTGACCTCGCAGATGTTGTTTCCATCATTTGGGATGTGCTCGCCAAATGCAAGAGGGCGGACTGAAGAGATAGCTCTTTAGGTACAATTTGATTTGGTACTAGTTATTTAGGGCCAGGTGTGGGCACAATATGTTTAATACTGGAGGTACAGTACATCATATGTTCTGTTAAGTCGTTTTTGTGGTTCCTAAAAATCTTTGAATATTTTACTGACCTCATGAGCCATGAGGCATTGACATCATTGGGATAGGCAATGAAACATCTCCAGTTCAACTCAGAGCAACTCATTTTCACAAATGTTTTTAATATAAGTACAGACAATTGAAAGATTACTCACTTTCTACTCCAGATAGTTCCAGAAATGCTAGAAATGTGTGGGGAGGAAAAATGGGATTCTACTTGGCAATGGGCCTTGAAACTAATTCCCTGGGGGACTTGAAACAACTGATGGATTATGTAGTTGCATTGATTTTGTGGATTAAGTGTGGCAAATGGTGAAGTTTAGGCCACCCTGTGCATCTGTTCATTTGCTCACTACACGATCAAGTTCAAACTTTTAGCCTAGCAAATTAACAATTTCTCAATCTCTATGCTCCAGCTACTCCAAACTTCTTCTCTTTTTTTTGAGATGGAGTCTTACTCTGCCACCCAAGCTGGAGTGCAGTGGTGCAATCTCGGCTCACTGCAACCTTCACCTCCCAGGTGCCAGCAATTCTCCTGTCTCAGCCTCCCAAGTAGCTGGGATTACAGGTGCCTGCCACCTTGCCCAGCTAATTTATATATATATTTTAGTAGAGACGGGGTCTCACCATGTTAGTCAGCCTGGTCTTGAACTCCTGACCTAAGGTGATCCATCCTTCTCAGCCTTCCAAATTGCTAAGATTACAGGTGTGAGCCACTGTGCCCGACCCAAACTTCATACCAATTCAAACACTGCATAAGTTCATTTATTCATTCAAAAAATATATGTTCAGTGTCCACTATGTGCTGGACTCTGTGCTAAGTGGAGGATTCAGCAGTAAATATCACTCTTGGCTCCCTACCTTCATGGAGTTTCCAGTTTCATAGAGGAAATAAACCCAAGTAATTGAACACATCTATAATTATGACTTGGGTAACTTTAAGTAGAAAACCATGTACTTTCTTGACTACACTAGTCGGGTGGCTGTGGAAGGGGAGTCTGGGAAACTTCCCCTGTGCTTGTGAAGCCCCAAACCGAAGAGCGAAGTGATTGACTAGTCAGGCTTTTGAACTATGATGCAATTTCTGATGTTACACAGTGTCAGGGTTTCTGTTATCTGATACAGCCATAAGAAACTACCAGAATGCTTAGTGTCTGAAAACATTAATTATGTTACCATTACTCACAATTCTGTAGCTCAAGAATTCAGGCTGGCCCGGAAGGAAGGGGCATCTCTCTTCCATGTGATGTCTGTTGGGGCTGGAACAGTCCCAGTTGTTTCTCCACTCACAGGTCTGTTGACTTGGCTCAGAAGCTTGATGGCTGAAGGTTAGATTGGACAGCCTGGCTGGGGCTGTGGTTCTCCTCAGGCCTCCTCCTCTTCAGGTGGCCATCCAGCGGGCCTCTCCACAGGGTCTCTCCAATAGTGCAACTCAAGTTCTCACATGACATCTCAGGGCTCCCAAGGGTAGAAATGCAGAAGTTGCCACATCTTCTTAAGGCTGTAGCCTGGAACTAGCATAGACTTGCTTCCATCATATTCTACTGGTTAAAATGAGTCACAGGGTCAGCCCAGAGTCAATTTGGGAGACAGCAACACAATACAGGTGGGGTGGTGCATTGGGGACAATCTCTGAAAACCAGTTACCACATTCAGGAAGTGGCATTGCTTAATGAAGGACTTTTTTAAAAATACAAGTTTTAATCAAAAGAGCCCCTTTCTCCCAAAGAATATGCGAGTACCTTCCTTTATCCAATGCTGATAGAGAATATGGCTTACAGAGGTAGGTGGAACTTTTTGATTAGAGATAGGTATGCCACTGTACCGCCAAACCACAGGGAAACATCCTGTCCAGACTCACAAGTGCAGTAATTCTTTGATCAGGACTTAAGACTTACAATGGAGGGCTGGGCACAGTGGGGCACACCTATAATCCCAGCATTTTGGGAGGCTAAAGCAGAAGAATTGCTTAAGGCCAGGAGTTTGAGAGCAGCCTGGACAAAATTGCAAGACCCCATCTGGTGTGGTGGCACAAACTTGTAGTCCTAGCTACTTGGGAGGCTGAGGTAAAAGGATTGCTCCAGCCCCGGAGTTTGAGGCTGCAGTGAGCTAGGATTACGCCACTGCTCTCTACCCTGGGAGACAGAGTGAGACCCTTTCTCTAAAACACAGTAAAAACATAAAAAAGACTTAGAATGAACTTTGAGAATTGGCAGGTACAGTGAACAAGATCTTTCTTCAAAGGGTTTTAAGACCCTTGATGAATGGAAATGATGTAATCCAAAGATGGGGCATGAGAGAGAAGAGCAGGGGCCCTCTAAAGATGATCACCAGATCTCACAAGCAAACCACAGCAAGGAGAACCCGGTCCTGCCTGACCAGAGGCCATTCCCTTTGCCAAGGAAGACATCAAATCTGACACCAGAACTCCAATCTAGCATTTCTACAGTTTGTTGTATATTTCTGCTTAACTGTGTGGTAAATCTAACATATGAAATTAGGCTAGGATTGTACACACGTTAAGAGGGCAGCTCTGCAGGCAGAACGTCTGTTGGTAGAGCCTGTCTCTACAACTTACTGAATGTGTGGCATGGGCTATGTTACTTAGCATTTCCGTTCAGGGCTGTGAAAGTGCTTAGCACAGTGCCACACATGACAGGAAATGGTAACGATTAATATCATCATTGGTTATGTTCTGGCTGTTAATTTCATAATTTCCAACTTAAACAGCCTTCCAGCTAGACAATTGACTTGATGGGCTCCTGTATGTATCCACTGATGTGAAAAGTTTAGCAACCAGAGCCCTTTTTTCGGAAGGGAAGATTTATTTCAGTCTAGATGCAGTCAGCATCCAACTTTGCAGAATTTGCTAGAGAGGAAAAGCCTGGCTTCATAAACCTGGCTACCTACACATGGTTCACAAACAGCAGGTCAAAGTCAAGGATGAATCCAGGACACCTAAATCATACTGACTGATATGGTTTGACTGTGGGTCCACCCAAGTCCCATCTTGAATTGTAGCTCCCATAATTCTGCATGTCATGGGAGGGATCTGGTGGGAGGTAATTGAATCATGGATGTTGGTCTTTCCCATGCTTTTCTTGTGATAGTGAATAAGTCTCATGAGACCTGATGGTTTTATAAAGGGGAGATCCCCCACATAAGCTCTTTTGCCTGCTGCCATGGAAGACGTGCCTTTGCTTCTCCTTTGCCTTCTGCCATGATTGTGAGGCCTCCCCAGCCATGCTGAACTGTGAGTCCATTAAACCTCTTCCCTTTATAAATTACCTAGTCTTGGGTATGTCTTTATTAGCAGCACGAGAACAGACTAATACACTGACTGACTGACCCAATTACCTTTTTTGTTGTTGTTTAATATAGAAACAACACATTTTAGGAGTCTTATAAGTATACATGTGGTGTTGATTTTGATTCAAAATATTATTATACTTTACAAGTTTCTGTTTCTCCTGAATGCACTTGTCTATTAACTCTGATACAGGTTTGGATAGCTGCACTTGTCAAAGTGTGCAATTGTTATTCCTCTGGGCTCTCCGATACCAGAATCTCTATATGTGAGCCAGGTATAGAGGAATTCCCTGTCTTCTTAAGGGATGACATCAGAGAGAGGCTACATGCACAGGCTCTGCAGCCCTGACGCATGGTGCAAAAGTGGACTACCACACTTACTAGCTGTACTTCTTAACTTCATTTTTCCTGTCTGGAAAATATGGCTAATTGTGCCCACCTTATGGGGCTCCTGTGAAGATCAAACAAGTAACCATACATAAAATGTTTAGAACAATTCTGGGCACATGATGAGTACATTATACAAGCATTAGCTTTTATAATTATTCAGCTTCTACATCAAATGGAAGTTTTTTACTTTATTTCATTAGTTTTTGGGGAAGAGGTGGTTTTTGGTTACACGGATAATTTCTTTAGTGGTGATATCTGAGATTTTGGTGCACCTGTCACCCAAGCAGTGTACACTATATCCAATGTGTAGTCTTTTATCCCTCACGACTCTCACCCTTCTCTGCGAGTCCATTATATCATTCTATGCACTTGCATCCTGATAGCTTAGCTCCCACTTATAAGTGAGAACATAAAGATATTTGGTTTTCCATTCCTGAGTTACTTCACTTAGAATAATGGCCTCCAACTTCATCCAAGTTGCTGCCAATGCCATTATGTGGAAGTTTATCCCAGTTCTCAGGTCACCCCTGTCTGGACCCTGACTCTGAACCTCAAGGACTTCCTTAAACAAGGGTGGAAAGAGGGCAGAGAGATGGCTTTTTCCAATGTAGAGATCTGCCTGATGCCTAAAACCTAGCCCCAGATTTAAGATTCTTCTACGAGGCAGAATGGAGTGGGAGGAAACGTTATGCGATTCACGCTACAGAATGCGGTTTGGCCCATTCTTGACACTTGCATACCACCTGTGTGTGTTCTGGGGCAGGTGGAGTCTCCCTTCTGAATCTCTGGTTCTCACCTGTGCAATAAGGTAGCAATCCCTGTGGGAAGGAGCCCCCAGGCACTTCAGATCCAGGCAGACTTGCTGAGGCAGGGCAAGCCTAAGTGCCCACACATCCAAGCCAGAGTCACCTGGATTCCCTTAAGGTCTGGAAAGTAGATGATGCCCAGAGGCCAGCTACTAGAAATGGGGCACAAGGACCCAAAGAACCTGGCAACCAAGCTGGCTTATGTTCAGATGCTTGCAAAATAAGTGGCTGAGGACTCTTACACCCTCCAAATCTTATGACTTGTGTCCTCAGAGGCTGGGAGTAGGACAGCCTGTGAGTGAGTTCTGCAAGAACTACACGTCTCTGGGGCTGGCTTGTCCTTTCCATGCAGGCTACTTTCCAAGCCCTCTAGAATAAGCCAGGCCTCTCCAGTCTGCTCCAGCATCTGCTCTGACCCTCTGGTCCCGTTAGCACCATCTCCTGTTACTCCTACCATCCATGAGTTCTGTTAGTTGGCTATCCTTTGGTGGGAGGCTGTTCCACCTAACAGTCATGACCCAGTTGCAGTACTTGC